>NC_000014.9:70369288-70520803 GCF_000001405.40 Homo sapiens
TCACCACATTGTGCAGGCTGGTCTCAAAACTCCTGAGCTCAAGTGACCCACCTGCCTAGGCCTCCTAGAGTGCTGGGATTACAGGCATGAGCCACCATGCCCAGCCTATGAACTTGCTTTTCTAACAAGTTCCCCAGTAACGCTGATGCTTTTGTCAGGACCTTGCTTTGAGAACCACTTCCAGTGAGAGAATATCATTGATGCTGGCATCTGAAGTCCTGAGTTTAAATCCTGATTCTATTATTACCACCTACATAATCCTAGTCAAGTAATTTTTTCTCTCATTTTTAGTCTCTTTGTGACAATACTTAGATCCCAGAGTTATGAGACATGAAATAATGTACCAATCAGAGTTTGGTACAGTCCCTGGCATAGAACACAATAACAAATATTAACTTCCTTTTTCCATTATACATGGCTAGATGGAACAATTAAGTTAAATCGATAACACATAAGTTGAAACTTCACAGGAAAACAAAGTACAGCTAGTTGAAGCAAACAATATCTTATAATTATACATGTAATACAGAATGATAGAGAAATGTTTTAAGTACTTAAAAATACCTTCGTTCAATTTTCAAAACTTTGAACGTAATAATTTAGGTAGTAGGAACATTAGATGCAATCTATAGAAGAAATATTAGACTCAATCTATGAAGAACATGAATTTTTTTACAACCTATAATGGATCCTGATACCTCATCTATAATTTTAGTTTTCTATAGAATCAATAATATAATTAGTGTACCTGCTTAAAACTGTATTACATTGATCTTCAATGCTACTTAATTTCTGAGAAAACCTAAGTTATAAGAGTACATCAGAATCTCTATTATCAACCAAAGCAAAACTTCTACCAACGACAGAATGGATACTTTTTAAACAAATTTACATATACCAACAAGCAAAAAACTAGAGCTTTCATTCCTGCTTGACATTTTTTTCACTTTGTGTGTCTCAAGGCTCTCTCAGGAATCAGTGTCCAAACCATGAGGTGAATCCTGGGAGGTAAGCAAGCTTGCTGTAGAAGCCGCTGTACATGCCTTCAGGAACAGAAAGGGTACCAGAGGCTGTGCCCTCCTAGTGTGGCTGGTTGGAGTGACAACTAGAATGTTGTCCGTGTTTTTCTGTGGAACCTACAATGAGTCCAGTTGTCTAAGTGAGTCTCAAAGGTATTGAATAGTTGATGTCAAAAGGCACTTTATGTCAGGACTGTTTAAAGCAAGTTTCTCCCTATACCAGTAGTGACCCAGAGGCAAGGTCTTACCGGACCTCTTATTTTCAAAAGCCTTCCCTTTCCAATTGAGCCTGATGCCATTATGTGACATCTTTTTTTCCCTGAATTTCTAAAAGAAAATGTGATGATTACCTGCATATCTTCTTTGTTGCTGCATCGTGTTTTGCATGGTACCCCTTTAATATTGTTTTCAATACTTAGCCTGCTGATATACTTTTAACTTCTCACCTGTTTATGAATTCTCTTAACTAGGCTGTGAGGCCCTTAAGGGTCTTCAACTTGTCCCTTTCCTCCACGTAACTTTCTCAAACGCCCCAGTTCTCAGTAACTTTTCTCTTTTGCTGTCTGTAATATAAACATGACCCCTACTTACACTGTCCTACCTATGTGGCCAATAAGAGTGTTGTCTTCGCAGTTGGAACCCAAAAGCCCTATGGGATGGAGGATATGCACTGTACTTCTTTGTAAAAGTGTCTTGACAAAGCTGATGTCCAATCAACATTTAATTACCAGACTGTCCAAGCTAGAAATGAAATACAGTTGATTGCCTGAGTCCTGATAATCTTGCTAACAAAATTATAAAAGGCCTATAGTATGGCCAATATATTTGGCTAATGGAAATGATTTTCTTAAAGCCAGAAAATTCAGCTACCCATAGTGCTTAAAACCAGCCTTAAAAGAACATGAACAGGATGGTTCCCACCTTATCGAGATCACTGGCATTCCATAGTATCCATTCATTCATATCCTCCTCCTAGGCCGCATGAAACACCTACCACATTTCCCTACCTCCTAAAGCAAACAAAACTCTTTTCCTCCCTCTTGCTGCAAAAAGGTTTATTAAAAGCCGTATGTAGTGTATAAAGCCTTTCAAAAATACTAGCAATCCATGCCTTTCTTTTTTTGAGATGGAGTCTTGCTCTGTAGCCCAGGCTGGAGTGCAGTGGCGTGATCTTGGCTCACTGCAACCTCCGTCTCCCAGGTCCTGGTTCAAACAGTTCTCCTGCCTCAGCCTCCTGAGTAGCTGGAATTACAGGAACGCGCCACCATGTCCAGGTAATTTTTGTATTTTCAGTAGACATGGGGTTTCACCATGTTGGCCAGGCTGGTCTTGAACTCCTGACCTTGTGATCTGCCTGCCTCGGCCTCCCAAAGTGCTGAGATGACAGGTGTGAGCCGCTGCACCCGGCCTCATTTTAACTAAATCTGAAGCCAGAGTTGATTTGATGCCCATCCTGCCAGGGAGGCAGTTCCTTCCCTCAGGTTTGTTAGTAGAAACCAAAAAGTAGCCTGAGAGGGTTCAGGTGCCACCTTGGAGGCACTACCTTATCTTTTGTCCTTTTAGAGTTTTCTTGCTGGGGTGTTTGGCTCCAGCACTATAGCCCTTACCACAATCATTCCACCTGGTTCTTCAATAGGACTCTGAGGTATCAAAAAAGTCACTAGGGCAGCCCAGAGATTGGTACGATTTACCTTTACACCTCAAAGTTTTTTAGATGTGAGCAGCGCTGGATTATGGCAATTTACCTTATAATAACTCACCATAGTTGGCTGTTATAAGAATAAATATTGTTCTTCTAAGATTTTTAATTAGTTGCTTCAGTTATTACATTTTTTTCTATTTTTTTTTTAAATAGAGATGAGGTTTTGCTATGTTGCCCAGGCTGGTCTCCTGGACTCAAGCAATCTCCCACTTCAGGCTACCAAAGTGCTGGGATTTACAGGCATGAGCCACCTCTCCCAGTCTCAGTTATTATTTTAATAAATGAGACTGAACGTCCTCTTATAAGGCTCACTCCCTTGTTCCTACTACATTTGCTCTGTTTAAGTATCTCTTTAAATTCTTCAGTTAAGATCATCCCTTTTATCAGAAACCTAGACACCACAAAGTAGCTTTCTCACCTTTAATTCTCCATAGGGATCACTATTATACTATAATATTTGCATACGTATGTGTATATATGTATTTGCTTTTTTAAAAAAGTAAAAATGCTCTTCTCACTCTTTGTCGATATAGGCACCCAGGTACGTAGTTAGAAATTAAATAAAGGCCACAATAATTTCCCAAGGAAGATCATTAAAAAGAAAAATCCTTTCTTCCTCTAATATCACATAGCTGGCCTTTATGGCATGCCAGCTAAGAAAAAAGGTATTGCCTATGGTGACAGGAAGACTCAATCTTTCTCTCTTTGGGTTGTAGCTGAATTTCTATCAAAAGTCCTAGTAAAATATATAACTCCTCATTTGTTCTAAGCCAAGTCTTTTCTTCAGTTTTCCTTCAAACAATACCTTTACTTTCCCATTAGAATATGAAGAATTGGAGACTGTGAACAGCAAGGTTTGGGGTGGGTATCAGTCACTTCAAATCTGGCTATGCAGAGAGAGGGAAAGACATGGCAGAATAGCAGGGGTGGAGGGTGAGTGAAATGTATCTTCATTGGGAGTATTGAAAGAGAGCAAGTTTTTCAAAGTTGTTGCCGGTATCTCATGAAAGCCCAGGCTGCTACCATGGTGAGGGCAAACACTGGCACCAGCACCATAAATATGGGAATACCACTTGGGTCCCCTTCACCTCGATGTCCTATAGGTCCATTCTGCACCTGTAACTGGAAGGGAAAGAAAAATGTTAACTCTAGTGACTAATGTGTGTTTGCAACTGAAACGCCCAGGTTGATACATCACCTGGGTTTGTAGACTCTAGACCACCCAAAACTGTAACCCCCAGCAATACCTAGCAGAAGGAGTCCTCTCTTTGTCCTGAGCTGATGCATCAGTGTCACAGGATCTTTGGAAAGAAAATAGGTCTAATGGGGAGGCATTTAACCTTGCTGACCTAAAGGGACCCGTGAGGGCAAGTCAGGTAATTTCTGTTTCTGTACTGCCTCTACCTTGCTATTTGTGTATCGTATCAGGAAAATGAAGACATGAGATAAAACCTATGATCTTATAGGGAACTTGGATATTACTTGGTGAGGAAGAAGGGGGATCTTTCTGGAAATGTTTACTTAGATAATCAGTCATCAAAATGTAGTAAGAGCAGATGTGGGCAATGTCAACATAGGTGCAATACCAACATACGTCCAATGCCATTACTTGAAAAATGCTTTCCAGATCCCAGAAGGCACCCAACTCCCTCCAAAGATGGGGTTTTGCCCTTCATCTGCTCATTTCTAATACTAGAGAGAGATGAAGGTGAATCTATATGGAACAGATGTAAAAAAGCAAAAAGAAATTATATCCTAGTGCTTATAATTTTCTATTGGCTAAGTGTTTCCTTTTGAGGCTGGATGGTCTTCATTTTAGTGATGGTTTTCAGGGTAGCTCTTCTTAATATCAACTTTTAGTGGCTAACTTGCAATAATTATGGCATCATCGTATTTCAGTTAAACTGCCTCATTACAACTCATAAAACTGACACTTCAATCTGAAAGGCAAGACTGCATGAAATACCATTATACCCTCTATTCCACCTCTATGTTTTTCATTCATTTGCTGATGAGCTGTCCTGAAAGGACATGCTCAATAAGAAGGCATGGTTTTTAGGGCTAGGCCAATTGCCTGAACATAAGGGTCTTTTTTATTAGGAATTATTTATGGATGTTTCCTTAAAAGTGAACACTGGAAATAACTTCTCACATACCTTCCAAAAGAATTGTAATCATATTGAAGTGTGTCCCTATATTTACTTGTTTTTATCTACTGCACAAATGCTCCCATGCTTTAGAAAGAGAAGAGCCAAGGCAGAAGCAACTGATGACCAATATTATCTCTTATTAACCTGTTTTCTAATCCATTACACCCAGATTCTGCTTGCAACTGGTTGTTTTCTCAGGTATCTTTCACGTTCTGCCTTCTCTACTTTTTTAGGAACTCCTCTAAATGTTCTTAAGCTTCTAAATCCTTAGCCACTGAGTGAGGAAGAGTGCACCTATTTAAGAAGTAGCAAATTGATTTAATTTAAAGGCACATGGAACCTGTTTTGTGAATATGCTCAGAAATTCTCAATGCTATAGGAGGAATTATATCTACCCAGGCTTCCCTTTACATCATCATCCAAATTATAAAACACTTGGAAATAAGAAACAGATGCAGGGATAGGTGCTGCCTTGACTGAATTCTGAATTCCATTTCCTTTTTCCTGGAGTTCTCCTATGAACACTAAAGATTTGGTTAAGAGGGTCACCAAGTTGATAAATGAAGGGTTCATGGCAGTGACAGGGAAAAGCATATAGTGGGTACCAGAAAACCCACCATCTTTGTAGTGTTTTATCCAATGGTTTTATAAATAAGTTTTCAGCGGTAGACATATGGTTCCTTCCCTACCAAAAAGTAAAATTGGCTACGTTTTTTTACCATCTTTTTAATTAATTAATTTATTTATTTTCCATTGGTCCATGTCACTCTTAAAATTTTTTATTTATTTTTATTATTATTTTTTTAAGAGATGAGGTCTCTCTATGTTGCCCAGGCTGGTCTTGAACTCCCGGGCTCAAGCAATCATACCACCTTGGCCTCCCAAAGTGCTAAGAGTACAGATGTGAGTCACCACACCTGGCTTTTCTTTAATCATCTGTTTTAATTTGGTTGTCAAGCTTTATCTTTAAGGCATATTATCTTGAAGCAAGGACCTTGGTTATAAGCCATACTGTTGTGAATTTCTCTTTTTTTTCTCTTTTTTTCTTTTTTTTTTTTTTGAGACAGGGTCTCACTCTCTTGCCCAGGCTGGAGTATAGTGGTATGATCTTGGCTCACTGCAACCTCTACCTCCTGGGCTCAAGCAATCCTCCCACCTTAGCATCCCAAGTAGCTGAGACTACAGGTGTGCACCACCGTGCCTGAATTTTTTGTATTTTTAGTAGAGATGAGGTTTTGCTATGTTGGCCAGGCTGGTCTCGAACTCCTGGCCTGAAGTGATCCGCCCACCTTGGCCTCCCAAAGTGTTGGGATTACAGGTGTGAGCCACCGTGCCTGGCCTGAATGTCCTTCAATGATAAGCAGAAGTACCAATGGACCCCTCCCTTTGCCTGAGAAACTCTTCAGGGGAGTGAGGGTAAAACAAAAAGCAACACTGAAGATTACACACATTGGGCTTATTCAGAAGTACAGTGCAAAAGCCTGGTGCCAGGTTTCTGGCTCAAAGTGATACCTACCCTGTGCTGCACTCTCAGAGACACAGCATAGCCTGCATTACGAAAGAGGTCTACAGCATCCTGGTGCAGCAGGTTCTTTAGGTCTTGGCCATTTACCTGTCAAAACACCAAAGAGTAGTAAGAAAGGAAGAAGGCTATTAGAAGTCAACAATTTATTTTCAAATGGCCAAACTTTAAATAACAAACTCCTTCAGAGCAAATTGCAAGGACTAGGAGTATGGGCAAAGTTACTTAGAGCTCAGAACTTAGAACTTTTTTCATTTTCAAAACTATGTTTTCCTAGAACTGAAGTTCCACAGGCCATCTGAAGAGAACCTATGTAAAATAAAAAGTGGTCTCTCCTTCCTCTTAGCTTCTATGCCTGTCTCGTTTTGACACTTGGGAATCTGTTACCGTATTAGCATTTCTTCCATGAGTGTTAACCTGCTTCCTTAAAGATAGCATGGTCTTCCAGGTTACCACCCTAACCTTTATATTCCTAAGCCCTGGCATTGCCAGCTGCAACTGTAGAAATATAACTCTATGAAACTCTCCACCAATTTATTTTGATGTCATATAAATCTATACTAGCCCATTCTATTGGGCTTTTCATAGTGAACAACTTCCTGTGATTCCACGGATACTCCTATCCATTATATCCAAATTAGTAAATTAGTCATTTTTTAATCAAAACTTAGTAAAAACCATATTCCTGTGATGATATAAATCCTTAAAAAAATTTCAGTGTAGGTCACTCCTACCACTTAGAGGTGAGAGATGTGAAGGAATACTTGTATTAATACTTTTTGCAGTTAGGAGTGACATCGGCCACAAGTAATAATCTATCTATCCTATGCTGTATTCAGTGACACAGCACAGCCCACTTAGTGCAAGATTACATATCTTTTATACTTGTCAATGTCATCGTTAACAGTAGCAGCAATAAGAACATCTGATATATTTCTTTTGATAGGTTCTGTACTTTACATACATTATCTCTTTTAATTCTCATGATAACCCTATGAGGTAGACATTATTTTTATCTCGTTTCCACAGATAAAGAAACTTGAAGCTCAGTGAGATTTGTGCTGGAGCTAGGGCTAGGATTTGTAAATAATGAAAGAAAGATCAAAGTGTCCTTGCATTTCACTGTTCCTTCTGCACTGTTATTCTTCCATCTTGACTCACCAACTATCCTCTGCTCAGCTAATGCTCAAGTCACTCCCTTACTCAACTCTCTCATTTTCCTTGTCGCAATCTTCCTTCTCCAAGGCACTCATAATCTTCCCTCTACTCTCTCTCTTGCCAATACAGTTGGTGAATGAATCTACCAACACTTCTGCCCTATAGACAGTCTACCTTTGTAAACCAATAGTTTCCAACTCCATTCCACTTCAGTCACCAATTGACGTAAACTTAGACTTCAATATTAGACATGCTTCAGCTCCAATATCTCAAACTCTTAAAAACCTGACAACAATTTCCACTCTTTTCATACTTTCTATTCATCTACTGAATTTCCTCCTTGTAACCTTTTTAGACTTTACTTGCATCCTTGCCCATCTAGGAGTTCCTGTTGTAATTTCAACAAAGCACTTGGTAAATCATTAGAATCCTTTGTCCCCAAGATCTTCTGCCATCTTTCCAGTCCTGGGCCATATTCTGCAATCCTTTTCTTGCCATCATTAAGTTGAATATTCTGGGAGAAAGGTATATTCTCATTCTCCACCATAGACCCATACTAGCTGACTCCAGCTCATCCTTAAAACCGCTTCTACTCATTTGCTGAACTCCTTAATAAACACGCAGTGATAGCTGTTCCAGACCTTTTTCCACCACCGTCTCCAACCCCATTTCTACCTCTCTCCCTAGCTGATTCCTTTATCTTTTGTGAGAACACTGAGGACTTCTGATAAATGCTTTCTACATTTTCTTTCCTTCTCCCTCAAAGTTTCTTTATATCTTCTCACTACTCCTTTCCCCTAGTCTCTGAATTAGATCTATTTCCTTTTCAAGGTGAAACCATCCACTGATGATCTTGATCATACTTCTTCTAACCTCCTTACAAAACTCACAGACACTCTGTCTTCTTGATTACTTAACTATTATCTTTCTCTGCTCCTTCTCTCAACTAAAATTATACACCTCTATAAAGAAAACAATACAACTATTTCTTGGAACGCATTATCACTCTCCTCCCATCTTCTTTCCTCTTTCTTTGACTGCTAAATTTGTTCTAAGAACTGTTTGCATGCACTACCTCTATTTCTTCAGCATTCATTCTCTATTCCCCTGTAATCTCACAATGTATGAGGTAGAAGGGAAGAACATGTTTTTCTAAAGGTCACCAATAACTTCCAATCACCAAATCCTATAGCCGTTTTTGTCTTCAGACCACCTCCTCCCTTTTGTAATTTTCTCCTATCTTGGCATATGAACACTTAGCATTCTTTGTTCTTAAATTATTCCTTTCCGGATTTCCTCTTCCCTTTCTTTCTCCTTAAGGTGAGTCAAGGTTTTTCAGTATCAATCCTCTATCTTCTTTCTTTCTCTCCCACTGTGAGCTTTAACAGTTTCAACCATAATCTGTAAGATAACTCCCAAATTTGTATCCCTACTTGTACTTCTGGATTTGCCAGTTTCTTGCTGGATGCCTACACCTGTATACTCTGCTAGACCCTAATTCAACATATCCAAAACCTCTTTATTACTTCCCACAAAAATCAGAATACATACCTTGCTTCTTATTGCCACTATCATTCCTTCAAACTTTTTTTTTTTTTTTTTTTTTTGAGACAGAGTCTTGCTCTGTCCCTCAGGCTGTCACAGTGGTGTGATCATGGCTGACTGGAGACTTGAACTCCTGGGATCAAGTGATTCTCCTGCCTCAGCCTCCGAAAGTGCTGGGATTATAGGTGTGAGACATTGTGCCCCAGCCCAGGCTAAAATTTTAATAATAGTTTTAAACTCTCTCTGCTGTCAACTTTCATATACAATAGATTGCCAAACTCCACAGTCTAACACTATGACATCTCTCATACAGTATTTTCTTTCCTATTGCCTATTTTAGGCTGTTGACACTAAAAACAAAACAAAAACTTGGGACCCCAATCCACCATGTCAAGAGAAAAAATTAAGCTGCAAGCTGAGTCATGCAATAAACTGCTTTTCCTTTTGTTCCCAAGCAGATAGCTACAGATAACAGGTTAAATATCTCCACAGGTAATTACTCTATGTTCACCTTATCTTATGTAAAGTCCCAACTTACTAAGCAAAAGAAAATACGTAATTGACTATTCCCTTGCCTGCTCCTTTCCTCTGGCAACATGTGGATTACCATACCTTCCCTCTTTGCTCTTCAGCCTACTTTAAATATTAAAGCCCTCAAAATCATCTTTGGAGAAAGGAACATACCTGTCTCCCAGGCATGTCCTTAACCTTGGCAAAAGAAACTTCAATCAATTTAGAAGACTCTTGGTTTAAAATACTCTTAGTTGAACTACTGTGATCACTTCTCTCTGATTTACTTTTCTCTAGGTTGGAACCGATTCAAATACTAGGTCTCCAGATTAATCTTCCTAAAGTACAATTCTGTTACTACCACTTTACTGCTCAAAAAACAAAAACAAAACTGGGGAGCAAGGAAAGAGTACATACCTCGTTTCTTATGCTGATATGGAAAGTCTTCCAGGAAATGACTCTAACCTATCTTCTCAGGTTAATTTCTATTTCCTTTCCTATATCCTATACTCTAGCTAAGTCACATAACTCACTGACTGGGACATAAAACATATTTTTTACCTTTATACCTGTGCTCAAACTGTATCTACCACCTAAATGCCCTTCCCTTTTAAAAAATTCTATTTATCTTCCAAGATTGATCTTTAAAAAGGATCAGTCCTGCTACCTACAGTGTAGAAATGAATACAGTTTTCTAGTCGAGGGACTTTAATTTCATGTTATGCCTTGGTTTTCTTGTTAGATATGCTGTAGGAAAAGAACTTCAGGATTTCTATAACTATCACAATGAATTCTCAATGACTCAATTTTCTAGTTAACTCCTGACAGAATAGGTGTGAGATTGCTGACTGTCATGGGAATGCTCACTTAAGTAATCTAGCCCATGTGATAGCTCTATTTCTCATTATAAAGAAATAAGTACTTTCTTTAGAGGCAGACAAGTAAGTTAATGATGCAGTCATGTCAATGAATGCCAAATGATGTCACAGCTCAATATCAGAGCCAAGGTTTCATAGTAATATAAATGCAAATGAGATAACTGGGTCACTATATTAAATGGTAGAAATACTGGGCTTAAAATAATCTTTGCCATAGTAGTCAGTAATAATTGCAGAGAATTATTGAACATAACCATGTCTGGAGCTGTCTGTTCATCTTACATGTATTAACTCATTTAGTCTTCACAATAGTTCTGTAAGTTAGGAACCCCTATTTTATAAGTGATAAAACTGAAGTGTAGAAAGGCTATCAATTTATCTGTGAGCAAACAGAATGAAAGCAGCAAAGCCAAGGATTCAAACTCAAGCAGGCTGGCCCAAAAGCCTTCACTTTAAAACACTAATCTATATGAATTTACATGGCAAGCAAGGATTTTATTTCAGCAACATATTACTGCCTATCACATATATGTTGTAAATTAAATTTTTATTGGTTTTGCCATTTAGTTTGTATTTAATGTTACACATTTAAAAAGTGTTAAGAGTTGAGGCCAGGCATGGTGGCTCACACCTGCAATCCCAACAGTTTGGGAGGCCAAGGAGGGCGAATCATGAGGTCAGGAGTTCGAGACCACCCTGACCAACATGGTGAAACCCCGTCTCTACTAAAAATACAAAAATAAGCTGGGCGTGGTGGCGCACACCTGTAGTCCCAGCTACTCGGGAGGCTGAGGCAGAAGAATCACTTGAACACAGGAGGCAGAGGTTGCAGTGAGCCAAGATTGTGCCACTGTACTCCAGCCTGGGCAACAGAGCAAGACTCTGTCTCAAAAAAAAAAAAAAGTTAGAGTTGAATAAAAACAAGGTATTTATATATTAATATTACTATTCATTTGTATATACAGAAGTAGCATTAAAATTAAAAAAGCAATTTAGTTAGGTGCCACTTCATTGACAAGGCCTTTCTAGATAACGTCACTAGATATGACTGATTTACTTCTTTGAATACTCTGTAACTCTGAATACTATGCAACTATATACTTTGAATACTGTGTAACTCTCTTAAAGTCCAAATTGAACTCTGCCTGACACCACTTTGCATTCTATTGTAACTTCAACATGTATCTCAGCTGATCATTATAACTCTACAATACCTAAGAGAACTTTGTACACTTGAGCATAATAAATAGCACATGCTTTCCTGAAGTTTGGCTGCAGAGTGCACCCTGAAAAAGCCATAAATACACAAAGCCTGACTGACATAATCTCAGTACTACATAAAGCTGCAAGGCCTGGATTCTAATAGTAGCTTTACCTGCCAATGATTCAGTGTGTAATCCTGCCCCTCCATCTGAGTCTCCTTCTGCTAACAGGGAAGAAAGACATTGGTACATCAGGCAAAAGAAGATGTTATAAAGGGCATAGGCCAGTTAAGCCAATTATGCCTTTCAACCCTCCTAGTTAAGGCTAAAGGTATTCTAATTTAAGAGACGTTATTCTAATGACTACTTTAAAACCC
This sequence comes from Homo sapiens, assembly GCF_000001405.40. Taxonomy (NCBI): domain Eukaryota; kingdom Metazoa; phylum Chordata; class Mammalia; order Primates; family Hominidae; genus Homo; species Homo sapiens. Next base: position 70,381,352 of record NC_000014.9, read on the forward strand.
CAAATAAGAGACCTTTTAGAAATGCAAAGATAATTCTTTCTTAAAGAACCCTTTCGCATCCTTTACCCAAGGTAAACCAGCCCCTAAAACATGTCATGATTACGACTTTCTCCCTTGACAATATCATTTCTACTCCAAAATTGAATTTGCTCTCCAATACTGACATCCTCTAAGCATTTTTAGATTCCAGCTGCTCAGTGACTAACCACCAAGTTCTGTAGATTTCACCCTTAAGTATCTGTGGAATCCACTCTTTTTATTACCATCCTTACTAACATAGACCAGTGGTTCTCAAAGTGTGGTCCCACCACCAGCAGCCTTAGCATCACCTGGGAACCTGTTAAAAATGCAAACGTTTAGGCCTCATCCTAGCTGCACTTTAACACTCCTTCAAAGTGATTCTCAAGTCTGAGTTAGTTCTTACCTAATCTGCCTGAAACAGTCTTTTAACTGGTCTCCACTCCCAGACTACTTCCCCTATTTAATATACCCCTTTCTACATATCCCTTGCATCTACAGATTTCATTAGTACTTTTCCATTCACTGGAGTAGTAATTTTTCAAATATTGTGAAATCAATCCAGTGGGTCAAGACCAGTTGTTTGGCCGGGCGCGGTGGCTCACGCCTGTAATCCCAGCACTTTGGGAGGCAAAGGCAGGCGGATCACGAGGTCAGGAGATCGAGACCATCCTAGCTAACATGGTGAAACCCTGTCTCTACTAAAAATACAAAAAATTAGCTGGACGTGGTGGCAGGCGCCTGTAGTCCCAGCTACTCGGGAGGCTGAGGCAGGAGAATGGAGTGAACCCGGGAGGCAGAGCTTGCAGTGAGCTGAGATTGCGCCGATGCATTCCAGTCTAGGTGACAGAGGGAGACTCTGTCTCGAACAAAACAAAACAAAACAAAAAAGTTGTTTATTTTTTAAAAAGTGAAATTAGAAGAAAACAAAATATCAAAATTCATCACATATAGAAAAGTATTGTTGTGTTAAACTTTTGCTTCAAATACACACACACACTCATTTGACGAATAGGAAATGTATGTCATTCCTGTTATAGGTTATAATTTAAAAGGTCTGAAAAACACTTGCCTACAGCAGTGGTTCTCAAACTTTACTGTGCACAGGCTCACCACGGGATCTCATAATGCAGAGTTTGATTCTGTAGGTCTGGGAAGGGCCCTGAGATTCTGCATTTCTAACAAGCTCCCAGGTGATGGCCAGACTGCTGGTCCTTGAACCTCACTTTTAGTACCAGAAGCTACTCGGCTGAGTAATCCCAGAATTAACTTGCTACTTCAGCTTCCTTAACTCATGACATAATAAGGTTTATTGAACCTAAGATATGGCAGATTTGCAATGTGCTAGAAAATTTCGCTGACTCTGAAGTTTCAGAGAATGAGCATGGTGTTGTTCTAGTTAACTGATGAGGAAACATACTTTTTTTTACTTTAACTCTGGTTGTTAGCATGTTAAAATGTGTTTCCTATTTCCTGCCTTATGAAATCAGCTGAGTTAAAATTAGTTTTCTTTGATTAAGAATTTTGAATTGCCTCAGGATATTCTAAAACAAGATCTCTGACTTGTAAATGTAGAGACATAGAGAAAGAATGGGCTCAATTTAATACGCAATAGATGTGAGAATATACTCTGGATATTGTAATTTTTTACTAAGATCCTGCAATGAACCACATTTTTTGGTCTCTTTTTTCATCAATTTTTGAAGAAACCATAAAAATAGATTATTTAGATCCAATCCAAAAAAGTCAGTGTGTTATAATGCAGGGGTTAATTCACGGAACTAACTTATTAGATGCTTACTCAGGGCCAGGTACAGGACTAGATGCTGGAGATAAAGAGATGATAAGGCAAAGATCCTTCCCTGGAGGTATTTTATTTAAAGAATGCTGCTGTATATTTCAACATCTCTGCAGCTGATTGGATGAGGGTTTCTGCTGGGTCTTTCTCACTGATTTCTAAGGTAAGCGCAGAGACCAGTGTTTCATTTCCTTTGTAACTTTCCCATAGCACTTGGCACAGTGCTCTGAAGGCCATTAAGTACAATAGTTGATAAATGTTGATGACTAACCAACTCTTTCATTCACCAAATTAAAAACTGTACTCACACAGAATATGAAATGAAGCTGGCTAATGGCTCAATCTGTGCCATTTTGTTATATAAGGGGTTTGTTCCATGTTAAAATGGAACATTCAACTGTGTAGTATGACCAGCTACGTCACCCTTAGCTTAATAAAAATGTCATGTTCACTGAGGAATGACTATTCTTCACCTCCCTTCATTTAGGCAGACACACAAGGAATGAGAAACTTAGTTCACTTTTCTAAAAATAAAAATTAAATTATTCCAGGTTCCATAATGGTTTATTCTAATAATAAACCATTCTCGCCAGCATACACACACAAAATGAACCATGGGTGAGGAATTTCCAGCCTTCGTAATAGCCATTTTTATTTCATGGTTGTCAGATGCAACATGGCCTTAAAAATCATTTACTGTCATTATTTAAGAAAATTTTTCTTTCTTAAGTTTAAATCATCTACAGTGATCATAAAAAATGAAATTTCACTTTTGATGAGAAAGAGGAAACTATTTTTTTTTTTTTTTGAGATGGAGTCTTGCTCCATTGCCCAGGCTGGAGTGCAGTGGCGCGATCTCGGCTCACTGCAAGCTCTGCCTCCCGGGTTCACGCCATGAAACTACATGATAAACCATGCAGTTACTTAATTTTAGAACTTGAAAGCAAGATAATATGTGGGAATTACTTGGGGAGAATGAAAAGGTTAAATTAATAGCTAATAATAACTCTAGGAAATTTACATGTCACATAATGTTACTTAAATCAGCTATCTAAAATAGGTATGTGCTAAGGAAGAGATACATTTTTAGTTTATCTAGCAAACATTACTAGAGGAAAAATGGGGCATATTTTATAACATGGAGAAATAACCTATGCGTGGAGCATAGGAAAATACATAAAAACTAAATGAGAATTTAGACTAATACATAATTTAGCATCATTTTTACAGAGACTTCAAAGCCAATAATAAATGAATACTTAAGTACATTTCATAGTTATGGCCTAGAAGTTCACTTAAGGACAGAGAGGGAATACGATGTCACGGGTAAGTGATGGAACAGGCTGTTTCATAGTATTTCTTAACGAATGGGATCTAGAAAGAAGAATTTTGAAGCAAACTCTTGTAATTCTCACATGTCATGGGAAGGACCTGGTGGGAGGTGACTGGATCATGGGGGCCACTTCCCTCATGCTGTTCTGGTGATAGTGAGTGAGTTCTCATTAGATCTGGTTGTTTGATAAGTGTCTGGCACTTCCCCCTACTCTCTCTCTCCTGCCACCTTGTGAAGAAGGTACTTGCTTCTCCTTCACCTTAAAAACATGATTTTAAGTTTAAACTTAAAACTTAAAACCATGATTTTAAGTTTCCTGGGGCCTCCCCAGCCAAGTGGAACTGTGAGTCAGTTAAACCTCTTTTCTTTATAAATTACCCAGTCTCACGTAGTATCTTTATAGCAGTGTGAAAACAGATTGATACAGCCCCTGATATGTCTTCTATCTCTGCCTCTCCTTCCCCTGGCTTTTCCCCTCTCTTCTTTGGATGCCTTTTCCTTAAATGGCCAAAACATAAACATATCATTCCTTGTAACATATCTTTGTAATATTTAATATCTTTTTACATCTTTATATTTCTTATATTTTGGTAAAGTAAAATCTTCTTTGCTATAAATTTAGACATCTACTTTTCTCTTCATTGACATTTATCTCCCATCATTTATCAGCAGCTCCAGCCCTTTTTTAAAACTTGAGAGGCCTTTCAATAATTTATTTTCTCTGTGAGGAAATGGTCCACATAAGGTTCTCAACTTGTATCTAATAATCTTCTTTACATTGAGGTTTATTTCCTTATTTCTGATTCTACCCTTTATAGAAAGACGAATTTCAGTTTTTATCTTATTTTATTTTTATTTTATTTTATTTTATTTTGAGATAGAGTCTCACTCCGTCGCCCAGGCTGGAGTGCGCTGGCATGATCTCAGCTCACTGCAACCTCTGCCTCCCAGGTTCAAGCGATTCTCGTGCCTCAGCCCCCTGAGTAGCTGGGGGACTACAGGCGCGTGCACCAAGGCGCGTGCCACCATGCCCACCTAATTTTTTGTATTTTTTTTTTTTAGTAGAGACGGGGTTTTGCCATGTTGGCCAGGCAGGTCTTGAACTCCTGCCCTGAAGTGATCCACCCTCATCAGCCTCCCAAAGTGCTGGGATTACAGGCATGAGCCACTGTACCTGGGCTAATTTTAGTTTTTATATAAAACCATACATGCAATCTACTATTAATTCACCATGTAACTTTGTCTTTAGGATAACTAATCCTAGCTCCTCATTTACCTTTTAGGAGGCAGTATAACAGTATAACATAGTGGTTTAAAAAAAGGCTACAAATTCAGACAAACCAGTTTGAGTCCCTTGCTGCTTACTAATTGTGTGACCTTGGGCAAATGGCTTGGGCACAATAATCATGCCCACCTCATAGGATTACTATAATATTAAACAAAATAAATTTCAAGTTCTTAGCATGTTACCTGACATTTAGTGCTCAAATACTTCTCACCATTCTCATTTTGCAATAATCTACGTTTAACCAAAGCTTTTAAAATAATACAGCTCTCTTCTTTCTCTTCTTAACTCCTATACTATTCTTCATCCACAGAGCCCAGGTTCCAGTGTTCTGAGGATAATGTAATTTATGTGTCAAAATATTAAGCTGCATAGATTCTAACTAAATGCTACACCTTTATTTTAACAACCCACTCTCAGCATTCCTTACAGTACCACTGCCAAGTTGATTCATATTGGATGAATGTCTTTCCTTGGGAGCTAAAGGAAATAATCTGCTTCTAAACTTTTCACTATCCTTTTGAGAAGACAGGTATATTATCACTGTCTCCATCTCACTGATTAATAAACAGGGTCTAGGAGAAGCTTAATGGACTGAAGAGAGGCAGAATAGTCAATGAGAAGGACTGAAATACTGCAGTGCTTGATACTATATTTATATTATGGATCAGCGAGGACACATGCTTAGACATTCTTGAGCTAATTTAGGTGGCTCTAATAGCTACTTGTTCTGATTTTCTTTCTTTTTGGGGGACTAAGTGGAGTCACAGTCTTCCTGAAGAGGCATTCAGAACCATACTGCTGAGCCTGATCACTCAAATACTCAGATGCCAAATGAAGAAAAGGTGGATGTTCTCTCTCTCTTTTCCTTTGTATCTCTGCCTTCAGGTTCTGCTACCAAATGGGCTTCATGGCAGAGAGGTGTTCAATAAGCTGACAACTAAGAAGAGCAAGAGATTTCACACATATGACCTTTAATCACTAATCACCTGAACTGCATGAGAAGTAATGTGAAAGGGAAAATTCAAATGAAACTATATAGCAAAAAATTTTTAAGGGATGAAGCTAACTCATTATAGAGGTAGGTTCAAAATCATGTATCTGAGACCAATACTTAATTCTGCCAATCAAGACTTCTCCTGTCTGTACTTCATTCATTTATTTCAACGTTTTCCCAACGTGGCCATCTTGCCCTATTCAGTTCTAAAAGAAAACAGGGAATAGTTTTCTCCTCTTCGGACCATGGGCTTATGGCCCATCTGGAGAGGATAGGGCTCCGAAGCCCTATCCTATTTCAATTTCCTTTTATTTAAGTCTAGCCCTTTGAAGCCAGCTCTCCCAAGAATATTCTAGATAATATCTCACCCCCTCAGCATTTTTCCATTCTTTATACCAATCATCTGCACTGTTTCCATACAAGTAATAAGCTGGCCATTTTTCACTAGTCCTGAAGATTAATAAAAAAAGAAATTCTACAGAATAATTATCTCCAACTATACTCCCTTATCCCCCAGCAAACTGATAGTATCATAGGATTACTGTGGCCCATGGTAAGGTAGAGAAATGAACAATAGGGCCAGAGTTATATTTTGCATTTTAATAGTTTTGACTGTATGCTTGTTCTAATTTATTTTAAGACCTGAGGTCTGTGGGCCCATATTTATCAGTCAACCTTTTTAGGTTTGCCTGAATTTCTTAACTTGTTCATTTCTTAAACATTATTAAGCACTGTGCTATGATTCAAAAGGTTAAAAAAAGATCTTAGGCCGGGCCCGGTGGCTCACGCCTGTAATCCCAGCACTTTGGGAGGCTGAGGTGGGCGAATCATGAGGTCAGGAGTTCGAGACCAGCCTAGCCAACATGGTGAAACCCTGTCTATACTAAAAATATAAAAAATTAGCTGGGCGTAGTGGCAGGGGCCTGTAGTCCCAACTACTCAGGAGGCTGAGGCAGGAGAATCGCTTGAACCCGGGAGGCAGAGGTTGCGGTGAGCCAAGATTACGACCCTGCACTCCAGCCTGGGTGACAGAGCAAGAATCTATCTCAAAAAAAAAAAAAAAAGGATCTTTTCACTGCCCTTGAGGAAATATTCTGGAAAATAGTAAGATTAATAATTACCATGTAGTATGTCTTCGTAGAGACATTAGCAGGATGAAATGGGAACACAGCGGACAGGTACCCAAATCAACTGCATTCCAAATTTTCATGTTAATAATGGGTGAAAAAGGGCTCTGAGTCTGAAAAGGACACTTAACTCCAACCTTCCTTCTTTCTGTTTTGTGATGTTAAATCCAATTATAAGGGCTGACATTCCCCCAAAGGAAGATACACATTAGTGTTTTAATCAACAAAAGGAGGTGATAAAGTAATGGATGAAAGACAAAATTTGTGGATTTTAAATCTCTTTTCCCCATATGAGTCCCTCGCTGCTTCCTGCCTTGTGCTTTTTGAACAAGTAACTTCACATTCTGGGCTTCACATTCTCATCTATCAGGTGAGCATAATGTTGCCCTCCATGCTCAATGATAGGGTTGGAAAGAATGACTGATCAAAGTTGTTCCCATTCAACTCTACAACCTGTATATTTCCAGATCCAAATCTTTTCAAGGAAAAGGGATAGGGAGGGGTAGGACCTAGGGCTTAGGGAGCAAAGGACAGTGAAGGAGGCCGAAGCCCATTCTCACCGAAAGGATCTTATCACCCTCCTGGAGCCGCCCATCCAGGGCCGCAGCCCCATTTTCTTTGATGCGGCTGACGTAGATGCCACTGTCGTTGGAGACATACTGCTGATCTGTCCCACCGACGATGTTGAAGCCCAGCCCTGAGAAAATCATGGAGGAGTAAAAAGATGGGGGTGAAGAAGAAAGAAAGAGATTAGAGAAGATGAAGAGAAAGGGAGGGAAAGCCTACTGGGGAGGAAAGGCTGATGGAGAGGAGATGCTGGCGAGTCAGCCTGTGATGGAGCTGGTGAATGGTCATGAACAAGGTCAGCCATATCAAGAGTATTGAGTTGCTCACTCAAATGAGGCACGACTGAAAATATAAACACAGTGATCCACCTGTTTTGTTCAATATATAAAGAAAGATCTATATAGAACTTAAAGAATAATGGTGATTACTCTAAGTTCGTTCTTCTTTTTCTTTTTTTTTTTTTTTCAGAGTCTTGCTAGTGGGCATAGTGGTGGGCGCCTGTAATCCCAGCTACTCAGGAGTTCATAGCTCAGTTGCCCAGGCTGGTTATGAGCTCCTGGCCTCAAGCAATCACTATTGCCTTGGCCTCCCAAAGTTCTAGGATTACAGGTGTGAGCCACCATGCCCAGCCTAGATGTAAGTTCTTCTACTCACATTTAGTTTTGATCCTGTTGATGGTATTCAAAGGACCCAATTCCTGACATTCCTGATATTACTACAGCAGGGTTAGCTGTGTTCATCAAAAGAAGCTATGCATTTTTACCAATTATCAAATGAACTGTTCCTAATTTAGTGTGAGAGATTTCTAACCATACCTTCCCTTCCACACTTTCCTTCTCCCAAGCTTCTGGAGAATTTATGTATGATAGTGCTTTAGAAAAATCTCTTGAGAGTTTCTTTTTTTTTTTTTTTTTTTCCATTTTGGTGGTGGAGGCAGTGGTGTAGGTATTGGCAGAGAAACCTCAGAACCAGAAAGGTAACTGCTATTTCATGGTAGGACTAAATCACCAAATTTACTCTCCCTTCCTTCGCTACTTCAAGTACAACCATATATAGGTTGAGTATCCCTTATCCAAAATGCTTAGGACCAAATGTGTTTTGAATTTTGAATTTGGGGGATTTTGGAATATTTGAATTAAACTTACCAGTTGAATATCCCTAATCCAAAAATCTGAAATCTGCAATGCTTCAATGAGCATTTCCTTTGAACGTCATGTTGGCCCTTAAAAAATTTTGGAGTTGGAAGCATTTCAAATTTCAGATTTTTGGATTTGGGCTACTCAATCTATACTTGGGCATAGTAATTGACAACTTTTATTCACTGTAGAAAAAACTGACTACTCGTTGATTAGCAACTCCCCAGTTCCTCTTCCCTAAGTCCTTGGAAACCACCATTCTAATATTTGTTTTTATGAGTTTAACTATTTTAAATGCATATAATTTTAGTTATGCAAGATGAATTAAGTTCTAGAGATCTGCTGTACAACATTGTGCCTACAGATAATACTATATCATACACTGAAAAATCTGTTCGGAGTAGATCTCACGTTAAGTGTTCCTACCACAGTAAAACAAAATATTAAAAGAAAGAAAAAAGAGAAGGAAAGAAAACTGAGTACCAAAGTGCTATTTCTATGGACCAATGACTAAGTGCTGGAAAGGATTTTACTGTACAGAAACCGTTGTTAGGAAAGGATTTTACCTATGCATAAAAAAATAAAAAGGAAAAAGGAACTTCTCTAGGGCTTTCTTAATGTCAGCTACTGGTAGAATTCAGGGGCACAGTGTAAGACAAAGGAGATAGTTTGGAAACAAACCAAAAATCTAGCGGTGCAATTGGAAGGAATAACCATAATCACCAGCCTACACTGTTCTCAATAGAAAAGATACTTAAAGAGACATATGCGGGGGGCCGGGCGCGGTGGCTCACGACTGTAATCCCAGCACTTTGGGAGGCCAAGGCAGGTGGATCACAAGGTCAGGAGATCGAGACCATCTTGGCTAACACAGTGAAACCCTGTCTCTACTAAAAATACAAAAAATCACCTGGGCATGGTGGCAGGCACCTGTAGTCCCAGCTACTCGGGAGGCTGAGGCAGGAGAATGGCGTGAACCCGGGAGGTGGAGTTTGCAGTGAGCTGAGATTGCATCACTGCACTCCAGCCTGGGCGACAGAGCAAGACTCCATCTCAAAAAAAAAAATAAAAAAGAGACATATGCGGGCTTTCTGAAAGTTCTCCCCATTGGTGGGAGAAAAGCTTACACCTGAAGCTCACAGTATTAACATAAGCACTAGCAAATCAATTTGTAATTTAAAGAAAAACATGACCAAACAAAGACACAACAGGAAACATTTAAGTTAAAAAGCATACCTTAGCCAGGCATGGTGGCTCACGCCTATAATCCCAGCACTTTGGGAGGCCAAGGTGGGTGGATCACTTGAGCTCAGGAGTTCGAGACCAGCCTGGGCAACGTGGTGAAACCCCGTCTCTACCAAAAATACAAAAAATTAGACACGCGTGGTGGCACATGACCAACATTGGGAGGCTGAGGTAGGAGGATCATTTGACCCTGGGAGGCAGAGGTTGCAGTGAGCCAAGATTGTGTCACTGCACTCCAGCCAGGGTGACAGAGTGAGACCCCCATCTCAAAAATAAAATAAAATACATAAAAAGCATACCTTGTGCATAAAATCTCTGCAGCTAGATAATAGAAAGAATTTATTCTCTAAAATAATATACATAATAGAAAGTGCTACTTCTGGAGTTTGTGACCTGGCTGGGCAACATAGCAAGACCCTATTCTCTAAAAAAATAAATAAGAAGGTGCTACTTCTGGAAGATGCTATTTTAACTTCCTTGAAGGGCTGGGTATTAAAAATAGTAGCTTAACTTACTAAATGATTTTCTTAGAGCACCCTCAATTTGTATCATAGAAGGTAGGAAGTATTGGAGAAGGTACAGAAATGTAAGATAAGGTGGAAAAGCAGATGGAACAAGATTATCGAAGGTTTTGAAATGACTTCAAAACTGTGACAGCTTTGAACAAGGGGGCCAAGGCCAACCCACCTCTCCCAAGCTGGAACAAACTATGTAGAAAAATCTTTTGATGAAATCCAACACCCTCATCAAATGCTACAGTTGCCTCTGGTGATCTTGGGAACAGGAAGCAAATGTTAAGCAGCTGAATGCAATGTAGTAGTTAGCAACAGAAAGGACTTTGCTACTGGTTATTCAAAGCTAACTGTAGAAAAAAAAGGAAGAGTAGAAGAAATTTTACCGAGATTTACCATAAACAAAAAAGAGCCGTCTACTACACACCCCATCGAAGTCATATTATATAGGTACATTTATAACCCGTTGCTACTTCTGTTGTAAATGAACCAAACTATTTAACATGAGAACTCCTGGACTGACCTGAAGCCCTTTGTTCAGCCAGAATATTTACAGAACTGGGTGTATCTATAAGCCAAAGCATTGCTGCAATAAAAGAGTCACCACAGCATTAAGTAGTGGCATGACCAACTGAACCTGGGCTGTACGGATACCTACATAATCCCCAGTTCACTTGCTCAGTAAAAATTACTGATTGAATCTTATGTGTAAGATGTTGTGTTATCATCTGAGGAAGACATAAAGTTAAACTGCACACTCCCTGCTTTGATCACAAACTGGAGTTTTTCCTTTTTCCTGTCCCTTTAAGATATTGCAGAAGCAAATCAACATTTACTATGTGTTAGGCATTACGTTATGCTCTGAGGAAGATATAAAGCTAACCTGGACAGTTCCTATTTTAACCACAAACCCAAATTTATCCTTTTCCCTGTCCCTTTTAGATATTGTAGAAGCAAATCAAAGTCAGAAGACTTGGTTCTAAGTTTATAACTTACCAGATATGTGGACTGAAGCAAGTCAGTTTACCTCTGATCCTCAGCTTCCTTTTCTACAAAAATAAGAATTATAAATTCTGCCCTGTCTACATCAATGGGTAAGTGTTAGGGGCCAATAACATAAAATACGAAAAAAAATCTTCATAAACTACATAGTAGTTGCTCTATTGGGATAAGGCGCTAGGAGTAGTTGTCAATAAACTAATGGCTGCTAAAGCTCCAAACTAGATAGTTTGACAGAGAAAGAATGAATAAATATACAGTAGAAATGCAAAATCTCCTAAAAAATGGGAAGACAGATTTTAAAATTCCACCCATCTATAAACAGGAACTCAAACTTATTAAGTACGTCTATGGCATGTGACCTAGAAATCCCCCTTAAGAGTAGTTTCTAGCAAGTGTGATATCTAAACTCTGCGGCAATCATCCAGCATATGGACCAACCAATTGAAACAGATGTCAGTTGGAAACCACCAGAAAGGGAAAGGCTATTCAATACGTATCTTGCTAATCATTGGCTATGGCCCAGAAAAATCTTGCATAAGTAGGGTGACCACATATCCCAAAAGCAATTGCCACAAAAGCCAAAATTGACAAATGGGATCAATTAAAGAGCTTTTGCTCAGCAAAAGAAACTATCATCAGAGTGGACAGGTAACCTACAAAATGGGAGAAAATTTTTGCAATCTATCCATCTGACAAAGGGCTAATATCCAGAATCTACAAGGAACTTAAACAAATTTACAAGGAAAAAACAAACAACCCCATCAAAAAGTGGGCAAAGGATATGAACAGACACTTCTCAAAAGAAGACATTTATACGGCCAACAACATATAAAGAAAAGCTCATCATCACTGCTCATTAGAGAAATGCAAATCAAAAGAGATGCCATCTCATGCCAATTGGAATGGCGATCATTAAAAAGTCTGGAAACAACAGATGCTGGCGAGGATGTGGAGAAATGGGGATGCTTTTACACTGTTGGTGGGAGTGTAAATTAGTTCAACCATTATGGAAGACAGTGTGGAGATTCCTCAAGGATCTAGAAGCAGAAATACCATTTGACCCAGCAATCCCATTACTGGGTATATACCCAAAGGATTATAAATCATTCTACTATAAACACACAGGCACACATATGTTTACTGCAGCACTGTTTACAATAGCAAAGACTTGGAACCAACCCAAATGCCCATCAACAATAGACTGGATAAAGAAAATTGGCACATATATATCATGGAATACTATGCAGCCATAAAAAAGAATGAGTTCATGTCCTTTGCAGGGATATGGATGAAGCTGGAAACCATCATCCTCAGCAAACTAACACAGAAACAGAAAACCAAACACTGCATGTTCTCACTCACATAAGTGGGAGCCGAACAATGAGAACACATGGACACAGGGAGGGGAACATCATACACCAGGGCCTGTCAGGGGGTGGGGGGTAAGGGGAGGGAGAGCATTAGGACAAATACCTAATGCATGCGGAGCTTAAAACCTAGATAACGGGTTGATAGTGCAGGAAACCACCATGGCACATGTATACCTATGTAACAAACCTGCACGTTCAGCACATGTATCTCAGAACTTAAAATTAAAAAAAAAAAAAAAGATTTGAAACCAAAGGAAAAAAAAAAGATCCTTAATAATATATTCTTAGTTTTTCATTAACTCACAGGAAAAGTCTGACCACCCATGAGACAGAAACCTATTACAGCTATTTACAAGGTAACCAGGCTTGTAAAAATATAAAAATGTAAAAAAAAAGAAACATGGAGTTTTAAAATGTAATGTTCATATTCATAACACAACACCTCCCTATAAATAAAAACATACACACAAATATTAACTATTTACAAAAATGCATGCATATTTAAAGAAATATAAAGACACATTAGAGTGGGTACTTATGGGGAGAAAGATACAGGATAGAGTTTAGGTATGAAGGGTGAAAAAAGAACCTGAGAGGAACATACTGATGATAACAGTGTACTTTGGAGCTAAAGGGTATAATTAATTCAGCTCTTAGCATTTAAGGTCCAAAAGGAGTTGAGGGGAGAGGCAGGAAGAAAAAAGACTGGGATTCAACTTTTTTTTTTTTTTTTTTAGTGAATGAATGAAGAGCTTAGTGAGCTCTGGTTATAATGTGCCAACAAATTTTAAAATATGGCAAGATTAAAATGGGTTGCTGGGTGTCTATTTTGCAGTCTAAATGCAAAATAGTAAAGGTAGCATAAGAATGACACCACTATAGGATTAAGAGAGAAAGAAAGTGTGCCTAATAGAAGAACCTTGGAAAGTTAAACAAGAAATCCCTTCTTTTGAACTCCTGACTATAGGTCTGGACCCTAAGCCTGTTTAAAAGAGCAATGGCAGAAGCAACAGCTAATGTTTACCAAGACCTTATTATGTACCAAATAATATGCTATGTACTTTATATATATTATCTCATTTAATCTTCTTGACAAACACAAGTACTCATTTTTCAAAGAGTTTAAAAGGTGAGGCATGGACAGGTTAAGCAACTTTACAAAAATGTCACACAGCTCTTTGCAAAGCCAAGACTTAAGTCAGGCTGTGTGATTCCAAAGCATGAATTTTTAACCATTTTGCTACAATACATCTTTGCAGAAAATATAAACTGCTTTAAGAAAAAAAGTCTTCTAAGCATTGCTGGCTATCTTAGGAGCTAACTGGTCTCCAGGCTGGCTCTGAACAAGCAATGCTGGGATAATGGTTGTAGAACAATCTCCAAGGGTAATATATTCTAGAGGAAGAATTCACCACTATAGAGTTTTGTAACTGTTGTCAAGGTTCCTATTATTTACCTTCAGACCAGAAAAGGAAAAGCCCTTCATTTCATTCAGATTCTTATCTACAAAATCTAAAAGTTATAAAGTAAATGACCAGTGTTAACCTGTTATTCTAGAAATAACAATTCTGGACATAATTAAAATGAAACAAAATAGTTCATTAACACCAAGGATTATAGCCACTTGTTGAGTTATGAAGACTAGAGTAACAAACACCCTATTTTCCCTTTTCTTTCCCAAGATCAATCCGACTAATTTTCTCCCAGACATCAATCAAACTCCATTGGATACACAACCCCCCTGTCTGTCTTTTATGAAGACTAGAGTAACAAACACCCTATTTTCCCTTTTCTTTCCCAAGATCAATCCGACTAATTTTCTCCCAGACATCAATCAAACTCCATTGGATACACAACCCCCCTGTCTGTCTTTATCTATATCATGGTAAAATAAACTTAACATAAAATTTAACATTTTACCCATTTTTAAATGTATAATTCAGTGGCATTAAGTACCTTCACAATGTCGTATAATCATCACCACCACCTATATCTGGAACTTTTTATTCAAATAAAAACTCTATACCCACTAAAAAATAGCTCCTTATTCTCCCCTCCCCCAAACTCTGACACCATCTATTATACTTTCTGTCTATATTAATTTGTGTATTCTAGGTACCCCATATAAGTAGAATCACACAATATTTGTTATTCTGTGTCTTGTTTATATTGCTTAGCATAATGTCTTCAAGGTTCATTCACATTGCAGCACATTTCAGAATTTCATTCTTTTTTTTAAGGCTGAATTATAATCTTTTGTATGTACATACCACATTTTATTTACCTATTCATCTGGCAGAGGATATCTGTGTTGTTTCCACATTTGGCGGCTGTGAACACTGGTGTACAAATATCTGTTTTGAGTTCCTTCCTGCAATTCTTTTTTTTATTTTTTGAGATGGAGTCTTGCTCTGTCGCCCAGGCTGACCAGCAGTGGCGCGATCTCCGCTCACTGAAAGCTCCGCCTCCCAGGTTCACTCATTCTCCTGCCTCAGCCTCCTGAGTAACTGGGATTACAAGCGCCTGCCACCACGCCTGGCTAATTTTTGGTATTTTTAGTAGAGACAGGGTTTCACCATGTTAGCCAGGATGGTCTCCATCTCCTGACCTCATGATCTGCCCGCCTCAGCCTCCCAAAGTGCTGGGATTACAGGCATGACCCACCGCGCCCGGTCCCTTCTTGCAATTCTTTTGGGTATATACCTAGGAGTGGAATTGCAGAATCACATGGTAATTATATATTTAATAATTTGAGGAGGTGATAAACTTTTCCACAGTGGCTGCACCATTTTACATCCTCACAAACAATGCACAGCTACCCCAATGATATGTGTGTATGTATGTATGTATGTGTGTATATGTATGTATATATATGTATATTTATATATATATGTATGTGTATATATATATGTATGTATGTAAAATAGTCATCCTAATGGGTGTGAAGTGGTAACAAATTGTGGTTTTGATTTGCATTTCCCTAACAGCTAGTGATGTTAAATATTTTTTTCATGTGCTTATTGGCCATTGGCCATTTGTATTACCTTCTTTGGAGAAATGTCTACTCAGGTCCTTTGCTCATTTTTGAATTGGGTTGTTTTCTGTCACTAAGCTGTAAAAGTTCTTTATATATGCTGGATATTAACTTCTTAGCAAATAAATAATTGGCAAATACTATCTCCCATTCTGTGGGCTATCTTTAACTCTCCTCATAGTGTCCTTTGAAACACAAAATTTTTTACTTTTAATGAAGCCCGGTTTATCTTTTGTTTTGTTGCCTGTGCTTTTGGTATCACATCCAAGAAATCATAGCCAAATCGAAGGTATTGAAGCTTTTTCCATTCTTCTAAGAGTTTTATGGTTTTAGCTCTTACATTTAGGTATTTAATAAATTTCTAGTTAATTTTTGTACATAATGTTAAGGCAAAAATCCAACTTTCACATACTTCTGCATGTGAATATACAGTTTTCCAAACACCGTATGTTAAAAATGTGTACTCTGCTGTTATTTGATGATGTGTTCTATATATATATATACGCCTGTTAGGTCTAATTTGTTTATAGTGTTGTTCAAATCCTCTCTTTCCTTATTGATTTTCTGTTGGTTGTCCTATCCATTACTGAAAATGAGGATACTGAGGTCTAACTATTATTATAAAATGGTCTACTTCTCCAGATCAATTTTTCAACATTTGCTTGATACATTTTGGCACTCTGTTGTTTTGTTATGGGAACTTTGGGGTGTCACTTTTCTGGCAGGAGACCTCTGTGTGGCTGCTGCAGCAGGGTGGGCAGCTCCAGGTGCTGGCTCTCTGCAAGGCTACAGCTGGACCAGGCGTAGCGCGAGCAGCTTCTACAGCTGGCACTGGGGAACACGATGGCATCTGGAAGCTTGGAGATGCCAGGAACCGTAGGGTCCCAAGGAGAAAGTCACAGCCCTGGCTCAGGGAGCTCCCAGGTCTCAGATACATGAAGGGTTGCAGCTCTTCTCTCTTTCTCTTCACCCACAATGTGGCAAGCAAGGGGCATGTCTCAGCCCTGACTGTGTTACAGCTCTCTTAGCCTCACCATTCGATGGATCCTGAGTTCTTGTCCAGCAACCAGGAAGAATGAGATACACAGACAAGTGGAGTGTCAGCAAGTCAAAGAGGAGCTTTACTGAGTGACAGAACAGCTCAGAGGGGACCTGCAGGGGGCAGCTCCTTTCAGCATCCAGGGTGTGCTGATGAGTGTTCGGCTCCTAGCAGAGACAGTAGCTCTTCTCTGCTAGGGAGGTCATCCCAATGAGTGTTCAACTCTCAGCAGAGAGGGTAGCTCCTCTCTGTAGGCAGGTCATCTCAACAAGTACTCAGTTCTCAGCAGAGAGGGTAGCTCCTCTCTGGAGCTGGTCATCCCATCTTCTCTGCTGTGGCTGAACCTGGGGCATTTATGGGCCTCAGAGCAGAAGTGTATGCCGACTGGTCCATGGGCAGCCACAGACAGCCCAGAAAAGGCACCACATGTACCCATTCCAGTCTGTGGGACTAGCAGCCCAGCCCTCAGCCTTCAGGCCCACCTTGGCCTGAAGGTGGGGCCTCACCAGGGACCAACCCCCTTCCACCCAGGAGACTGTCTGCCTCCTGCCACCATCCATGGCGACCAGCCTGTTTGTGCCAAGGGGCACCTGCAGGCCAGTGCTGAGCTGCCCTCAGCACCCCCAGGATTCCCCTCATGCTTGTTGGTGCCCAAAGTCCAGAGAGGGCTGAGGCAGCAAGGGGCTGGTGTGTCAGCACTGCCCTAAGTGTGTACACACTGGGCCGGGCTTTGACAGCACTCAGATTGGCCCAAACCCTGCACTGAGATCAGAGCAGGCACTGGGAGCAGGGAGAGGCCAGGCAGCAGGAAAAGACACCCCTGAGCCTGTGGGTGCAGGGGGAACCTTCCTGGGCCCCTGAGGGTGAAGAGTGCAGAAATGCCTAGGTCTTTGCACCTGGGAGGGCAGAGCTCTCATCTGCTCCATGAAGTGTGCAGCCAGCACTAGCTGTGCCTCCTCACAGCCTGGGGTGGGGGCTCCAGGTCCTCATTGGGCCGGGGCAAATATTCAGAGCAGGAGTGACATCACCACAAGCTCCCTGCTGTCGCCCTGGCGCTGAGGGGTGGCCTGGGACTCACTGTCGCTTGGCTCACAGCCCTGCCTATAGGGGGCCTCTAGGAGCAGATAGGGGGCCTCCAGGAGCAGATAGTGGGCCCCAGTCCTGGCCATCACAAGTGTCAGGCTCGGAAGTCACCCAGATGCAGGGTGGACCCCGGGGATGCGGCCCCGCGGAGGCTGCTCCCAAGGTGCAAGAACCCACTGCAGTGCCCGTGGTGGGTGGGTGTGGTGGGTGCTCCGCTGGCCAGGTCCCCAAAGCAGGCGCCGCTCCCACTTCCCACCCTGGGGCCCCAACGTGCGGCCCCAGCTCTGCACCCCTGGCCCAGCCCCCATGCTCTGTGTAGAAGCGTGGCACTGCCCCAGGCCCACCCTGGCCTCACGGCCCCTCTCTGCTCGACCACACTGCTCACCTGCTGGCGCCCATCTCGGCCTCGCCCCATAGCGCAGCCCCCAGGGCAGCAGGCTCCAGTGGGGTTCCTGCTTGTCCCTGGCTCCCACTGGCTCCATGGAGCAAGGCACTGCCCGGGGCCCAGCCCTGCCTCCTCCCCACACTCTCCCTGCAGTGGCAGCAGGCAAGAGAGGCAATGCAGGGCCAGGGTCTGGAGCAACAGAGGCTCCGGACCTGGGGATGGGTCCTGCCTGGCCATGTGAGGGTGGGGGACACACAGTTGGCTGCCTCAGGGACGCAAGGCATAGGGGACCCACCACTGCCATTGCTGCTCCCGCAGCCACTCCTGCTGTCACTGCCCACGCCTCCCCGCTGCAGCCAGTGTGATGGCACTGCCATGAATTCCCCCTCTGAAGAGGAACATCTAACTGCTGTTAAGATAGGGACGATGACTGCTCTTAACTGCTTCATGCTGACAGAGGGTGTTAATTTGTGGAAAACAGGAGATTTTCTCTCAGGATCCTATCTAAGGGTCAGCTTCATGCTGATTGGTGTTGTTTTGGGGAAAACAGCAGATTTCCTCTCAGGGTCCTACCTAAGGGTCCCCAGTAAAAGGGAGCCATCATCCGAGGCTCCATTTCCATGACCATTTGGAGTTTGACAGCCCACCCCTTTTATTTCTTTTGAGCTGCAGTCAGAGATCACTGGTTGGTTCACCCCTACAATTGTCAAAAGCTGCAAAAAAGAGAAAAGTTTCCTTGACTCTGAAATACAAAACAAATGAGCAGCAATGTTCCAAGCAAAAAGTCAAAAAGGATTATTTCAGTCTTCCATTAGTTCAGATCACTCAGTCAACTCCTGTTCACAATCTCCAAAGTTATCAGAAACCTGTACTCAAGGACTATAATCCATCTTTTGAAGAGGATCAAAACAAGACAACAATTGTCTGTGAATGCCAAAATATCCTAAGGTCGTTTCATTCAAAAACACAAATGACTAAGAAATTTGGTAACCTCTGTGGATTACAATAACCCAATACGATAACCCTAATTATGATTGACAGCATATACTCAGACATTTGGATTTTTGAAGTCCCATACAATTTTGGAACATACACAAGTATTATTCACCAAAATATAACCTGAAGAAGACTAAACCCTATCTTTATCTTGACAATCCCTTTACAAATTTTTGTTAAAGAGTAGAACAGTGCCTTTAGAAACCCTTGTGGTTTTATTCCCAAGTTCACTTTATAAAAAAAAACAAACAATACCCTTTTGAATTTAGTATTCCCACACAGAATTTTGTTTTTAAGATTAACCTTTACAAATCTTCCACAACTTGTTTAAACATTTAGCTTTATCTTACCTAATTTAAAACAATCATTTAACCCCCTAAACTAGGCAAAAATGTATATTCCCATGCCTTCTTATACTTTTACTAAAGACACGTTTTACATTCTTTACACACCTTGCATGTAAATCTATCCTCAGTAGTCTCAATTACATGTTATAATGGTAACTGTTAGCAATTCTTAATTTTGATGAAAAATCTGGTAAGTTATTTTAATTATTTACTTAGATGCTGATAAGGTCTATTTCTAACATAGCTAGGGGTGTGGCATATGTTCCCCAGCCTTACCAAACTGTAAAGCAGGCAAGTTGAAGAATTTTCAAAAGCCAAAGAAGCAGTTTATGACTTTTGAAAAGTCCGTAAATTATGAAAAATTAAGCTTCAAAATTCGAGTGCTCTTTTTAGAAACACCAGCATGACTTATATATAACACTTATGGGACATCCTCTTGTAAATATCTAGGAAAGTGGACTCACTTAACTTGGGATGCTGATAAGCAGCAACAGCCAAAACAGGGATCCTCTGAAATGTATAAAATAATTCATTTGCAAGCACAAGAGGGAAAAAAAAAGCTGGTTTTAGAACCGTACAAACTGAATGAGAGACCTACTTTATAATTGTCTTGGTTAAAATCTGATAATAAGAGATTTGAAAAGATTATTTTTTAGAGTTCTCTGGTCAGAAGTCAGCTTACTTAGGGCTGGGCATGGCAGCTCACACACCTGTAATCCTAGCACTTTGGGAGGCCAAGGAGAGAGGATCACTTCAGGCCAGGAGTTTGAGACCAGCCTGGGCAATGTATTTTTTTTTAATAAAAGAAAAAAAGCTTAATTAAAAGTAATATTTAGGCTATCTTTTGTGGGGGGGAAAGGACTTTCTGCTTTTTTCCTCTCTTGGATCCTGGTTCTTGGCTTTTTTTTTTTTTTTCAGTCAATTGAGACCCCTTTTTAAATATGTTTGATACCTTGAGTCTTCTGTTTGTTTCCAATCTTGCTGGCATAATTTTTGCTGAGAAAAATATAAAACTTCACTGGCCTTTTACAAAATTTAAAATCTCCAGGCTCTTGCTCTGTTGCCCAGGCTGGAGTGCAGTGGCACAGCTCACTGCAGCCTCAATCGCCCAGGCTCAAGTGATTCTCCCACCTCAGCCTCCCAAATAGCTCGGACTACAGGAGCACACCACCACACCCAGCTAATGTTTTTCTTTTCTTTTTTTATGTAGAGACAGGGTCTTGCTATTTTGCCCAGGCTGGTCTCAAACTCCTAGCTCAAGTGAACCTACCACCTCCGCCTCCCAAACAGTTAGGCTTACAAGCATGAGCCACTGTTCCTGGCTAAACTTGTTCTATTTCTTTCCACTCTGCTCTTCCTTCCTTTTGTTATTTTGATACCACAGGAAGAAATCTAAAGGAGACTTCTAACGACTCAGACCCCTCAAGGAACGCTGAAAAAACACACCATTCACTCCCTTTTTGGGGTATTCTGTCTTCTTGTGGAGTCTGAAAAGTCATGGACAGGTTCCTCTCAGGTCTAAAACTCTGCTCTCTTCCATACTGCATTACTTGTTGGCTTTTGAGAGTACCAGAGATTACTTTGTACTGTGAAAGAGACCTTTGTGTATGTTATGGCTGGTAAGTCACTGACAAGAGCTACAGTATTGGAGGTGACTAACAGCAGTTGTTTATGGTGAATGGTTATTACTATAGGCAGCTACTCATTTTATTTTATTTTTTAAACATTTAGGTAAGAAAGGTGTGGCTTAATGTCTTTGTAGTGAGGTGCGCTGTGGAGGTTTGTGTGGCCTGGTATCATGGCATTTTGCTCTTTGTGGAGACCCAAGATTCACGTAAAAGTGGTTTCCTTGATTTTTAAAGATCCAGATGCACTGCCCTGCAAATCTGCCTGGTTTTTAGACACTTAATATCAGGCCCTGAGGCAGTCCTCACTGGGACAACAGGTGGTGCACCTGTAGTCCCAGGGAGGCTGAAGTGGGAGGATCACTTGGGTCCAGGAGCTCAAGACCAGCCTGGGTAACATAATGAAAGCCTGCTTTAAAAAAAAAAAAAGAAAGAAATTTTTAAAATATATATCTATTAGGCCCTGGAAACTGCAAATACTTTCCTGGTCCCATTCATGAAAGGGCTCCACTTTGAAGTCAGTAATCTAATCAAGAAACGAACTAAGTATCTAACAAGATTATAGTCTCCAAAATACAACTTTCTAGCACTTAGCTGGCTACTTTGAAACTCTATGTAAAATAAATTTACTTCTATAAAGGAAATCTCCATTTGTAAGGACATGCCCCTATACCCAAGCAGCTAGAAATTTTTACAATGGGAAAGACACTGGCTTAAAGTTGACATAACAAACCTTACCTATGTTTAAAGATACTTTTCCTGGCAATCTTATCTTGACTGATTCTTTTTGTTTCAGCAAATAATGGTATATAGATATAAGTTCTATGCCTCTAGGGGTATCAATTTTCACCTAAGAGTAATGTTTGCAATTTAGGGTTACCTAGCTAAACAACTGTTTAGGGCAATGGAATAAGTAATCAAGGAACTGGTAGTCTAAACAGGGAGAGATTATCTGCAAACTGGCAAATGAAGAATCTTATAAAGCTATAAGATCTGTTTCTGTCACTGTGTCTGTATGTCTCTATGTTTATGTGTCATGTGTATGTGATACTTCACTACCAAAATACATGAAAACATTCTAATGAATTTGTCAGAGGCGTTTAAACCAGAGCAACTCCATCTTGAATAGGAGCTAGGTAAAATAAGGTTGCTGGGCTGCATTCCCAGTAAGTTAAGGGATTCTTAGTCATGGCGTGAAAAAGAAGTTTGGCACGAGATACAGGTCATGAAAAACTTGCTGATAAAACAGGCTGCTGTAAAGAAGCTGGCCAAAAGCCACCAAGATGGTGATGAGAGTGACCTCTGGTGGTCCTCACTGCTACACTCCCACCAGCGCCAAGACAGTTTACAAATGCCATGGCAATGTCAGGAAATTACCCTATATGGTCTAAAAAGGGGAGGCATAAATAATCCACCCCTTGTTTAGCATATAATCAACAAATAGCCATAAAAATGGGCAACCAGCAGCTCTCAGGGCTGCTCTGCCTATGGATTAGACATTCTTTTATTTGTTTACTTTCTTAATAAACTTGTTTTCACTTTATGGACTGCCTCAAATTCTTTCTTGCGTGAGATCCAAGAACCCTCTCTTCGGGTCTGGATCAGGACCCCTTTCCAGTAACAAAATGGCTTTAAAGGTAAGCACTTAAATCAAGTATTTTATCAGAAATATAGAAAGTAACTCAAATGCCTTTTAGTTCACATTACAAAAATAAGACTACTTTGTTGGTTTAATGAAAATGGCTGTTTCTTCTGATCAGCAAAATATGCATGTATGTAACGTCAGGGTTTCTTTCACAAGCTGTGGAAACTATTAACAAAGAAATAACTTGAGGCCAGGCATGGTAGCTAACATCCATAAGGCCAGGAGCTCAAGACCAGCCTAAGCAACTGGCAAGATCCTGTCTCTACAAAAATGAAAAATTAAAAAAAAAAATTAGCAGGGCATGGTGGTGCACTACTGTAGGCCTGGAGTGAGCCATAATAGCACCACTCTACTCCAGCCTAGGTGACCGGGCAAGACCCTGTCTTAAAGACAAACACAAAAAAATAAGTAACTTGGGATGACGGCCAGCTTTGTTTAATGATCTATACAAGTCTAACTTTTAAAAATGAATAAATTAAATGAATATAAATGGTATAAAAGTGTATAAGCAAGTTTTTCATAATTTTAAGAATCTTTTTCAGAAACTTAAAATCATGTTATGCTAAATTAAGTAACAGATAATTATAAAATGTCTGAGTCATTTACATGGTATAGAAAAGCTAAATATATTTAGATCTGTTAACAAACAGATTGAGAAGGTTATCTTTCTAGAAATTATGAAATGGTTCTATCTACAAATACTGGTATAAAACTGTTCAAAATTACCTTACTTCCTAGGTTCTTCACTGGAAATTAGGGTTACTAAGAGTTAAAGTTACCGTCAATATATACAATTAAAACTACTGAACACAAGAGAAACAATTCTAAATACAGTGCATATAAAGAAAGTAAGATGTGAAGAAAGTTGACAATAGAGATCACTTTTCTTTACATGGTAACTTTGTGTGGACAAAATAAGGAGGAAAGAAATGTAAATTAAATAAGGAGGGCCAGGTATAGCGGTTCACGCCTGTAATTCCAGCACTTTGGGAGGCTGAAGTGGGTGGATTGCTTGAGTACAGGAGTTCAAGAACAACCTGGGCAACATGGCAAAACCCCATCTCTACAAAAAATACAAAAAATTATCTGGGTGTGGTGGTGTGTGCCTGTAGTCCCAGCTATTCAGGAGGCTAAAGTGAGAGGATCATCAAAGCCCAGGAGGATGAGGCTGCAGTAAGCTGTAATCACACCACTGCACTTCAAGTTGTGTGACAGGGTGAGACCCTGTCAGTCAATCAATCAATCAAATCAATCAATGATAGGAAAGAAGGAAATGTAAATTTCTGTCTTAAGGTAGAATGCCAATATCAGAAAGTCAGTATAGGACAAAACTAAAGATTTAAACAGGTTGTAGAATGTCTACGGAAAAAAATAAATGAATGAATGAATGATAATGGGGAAATAAATGTATAATAAATTTCTGTCCTAAGGTAGAATGCCAATATCAAAAAGGAAGTATAGGACAAAACTGAAGGTTTGAACAGGTTGTATTAGGTTGGTGCAAAAGTAATGGCAAAAACTGCAATTACTTTTGCACCAACCTAATAGAAGTTTTGTGGAACATGAATCTTATGAATTTTGTGAGTGATCAAGTTGGCTAAAATTAGAAGGGGATTATTTCACTTTTTAAAAAACTGAGCATCAAAATCAAAATTGAGCATTAATATCAAAAGCACACTGATGCAAGGCCAGACTCAAAATAATGGGTTTTGGGGGCCACTGATCTGCTCTTTAATAGATTAAAAAAGGGTTATGGGAATCTTGTGTGTTCAAAGCTGATTGAGATTAGATGGATTTGTTTATTAAAGTTAGCTTTAGCATTAACAACATACTGATGCAAAGGTAGAATATGGTTCTCTCTTTTAAACAATATTTTCATATACTAAGAGATAATAAAAGACTTGTTCACCTTTTGAGTAATCTACAAAAATAAAAAGAGAAAAAGATGTGTTGGTCTTGTGCTGTCTTTATTAGGTCTTTTGATTGTTTGGGAAACCAAGTCTCCTTTCTATTCAAGAGTAAAGGTCTTTGCTTTCAATTATCACCTTGACTTAATTAATGACTATTATTTATTGTGTCTTGTGATCCTGTTTAGATTAAGTGTTTTCAACCTGCATTATTTGACATGCTTTCCAAAACTAAATTTCAAATTCTAACTTTAACCCTTTTCCAAAAGGAACCCCTGGAAGTCCAACAGATACGTATTAGGCTTATATGTTAAAATCATATTGTTATAGTAGGTAGCCAGTCAGGCATAAGCAGGGCAGGAGGGGGCCTACCACCACACACACACACCAGGAACGTCAGGTTACCTTTGCAGAATAACACACCCAACAACTACAAAATAAACTTTATATTTAAAATGCTTATGAAACTGCCTTTCCAAAAATTGTAACTGAGAAAATTATGATGGTGAAAGAGATCTGACCTAACTGACTCCATCTTGCTTCTAATCTCCAATTGTCCTTGTTCATTCCTGGGTGTAGGCCAAACTAACTTTGGGAGGAACTTAGCTTACAGTTTAACTTTGAAACAAAGATAACAGCCCTTTGCTGAAATAAACCCCCTTCTTGCTTGGGGACTATACTGCCGTTGCAGGACTAACAAATTAGCCACAAGATTAGAAATTATGATTTAGGAGTCATGCAGCTGGAGGCTGCAAGATTCTGAACTTCCCCGAATTGCTCCAGGGGATAACATCGCGATTGTAAAACCTAAGATCAGTGCTTCTGATATTTTGCAGACCCTGCACTCAATGGATCAGGCAGCACCACTTAGATCTATAAACTAACTCATCTAGTCTTTGTAGTGCCCACCCAAGAAACAACACAGCACAAGAGGACAGCTTCAACTCCCCATGATTTCTTCTCTGACCTGACCAATCAGTGATCCCCACTTTCCAACCCCCCACCTGACAAATTATCCTTAAAAACCCTGATCCCTGAGTTTTCAGGGAGACTGATAATAAAACTCCAGTCTCCTGTACAGCTAGCGCTGTGTGAATGAAACTCTTTCTCTATTGCAATTCCCTTGCCTTGATAAATTGGCTCAGTCTAGGCAGCGAGCAAGAAGAACCCATTGGGTGATTACACCTGCACTTCATTGAATGTGAATCATGCCTCAAAAAAGTTGAGATGAACCTGGTGATTATGTACAAAAATGCAAGCATTTTAAACATTTATTAATGACTCCTACTTATTAGGTTGGTGCAAAAGTAATTGCAGTTTTTGCTATAAAAAATGGCAAAAACCGGCCAGGTGCGGTGGCTCACACCTGTACTCCTAGCACTTTGGGAGGCCGAGGCAGGTGGATCATGAAGTCAGAAGATCACAACCATCCTGACTAACATGGTGAAACCATGTCTCTACTAAAAATACAAAAAATTAGCCAGGCATAGTGGCAGGCGCCTGTAGTCCCAGCTACTTGGGAGGCTGAGGCAGGAGAATGGCGTGATCTCCTGGGAGGCGGAGCTTGCAGTGAGCCGAGATTGTGCCACTGCACTCCAGCCTGGGCAACAGAGCGAGACTCCGTCTCAAAAAAAAAAAAAAAAATGGCAAAAACCACAATTACTTCTGCACCAACTTAGTCAATAATAAAAGGCTAAAGTTTCTCAAAGCACCAATTTTGTGTTAATTAAGCAAAAAAAAAATTTGTTATAGTATCCTCCTTACAGTAGACTTTTTCTACTATTTCCTATGCAAATATGATAAAATGATTTTTAAATAAATTCTAAGTATATCCCCAAGATAAAATCAAAGTAAAAAAAAAAACATAGAAGATGAAGTTTAAACTCAAAATCACCATAATCTACCTTTCTAGCCATCTTTGGACATTCTCTACTTTGCATTATACAGTAAACAAAATTTAATATTTGCTATCGCTTTTCACCCTATCATCCCCGCCCACAGCTACTGCTTATCTCCGTGACTTTGGATGTCTTCTTCCCTTTGCCTGAAAACATGAAATTACTTGTTTAATTGTCTCATTACCCTATTGCAATATTCGTTCCTAGAAGACAATGTAATTAGCTTATATTCATTTTTGTACCTCCTGTGCCAATATAGTACCTAGTACATACACAAAGCCCAACTGGTGTCAATTGACTATTATTGGAATTGAAAATTACACCTAGGTCAGGAATTTCTAACATTTCCAGTTCTAGGGAAATCTCACAAGGTTAAAAATGTTTCTGGGAGCTTCTAACAGGTTTTTTTTTTTTTTGGAGGAGGGGGAAGGACTATTGCAGTAATAGGGTTTTTTTATAAACTAAGGCATAAAAGGAGGGAAAAAGAGAAACAGAAGCCCCATATCCCTGAAATTACTGACACAGCTTACCCTACCCTTCCTAGATGACTCAATTCTTGCCCCATAAAGTCTACTCCCCACATAGCAGTATCCTTAAAGCACTTCAATGAATTAAATGAGTTGTTTTGTGGTAAAGTGCTTAAGACAGTACAGAATCGTCACTACAAATTATTTATAAAACAAAAATCGGACAGGCGTGGTGGCTTATACCTGTAATCCCAACACTTTGGGAGGCCGAGATGGGTGGATCACCTGAGATCAGGAGTTAGAAACCAGCCTGGCCAACATGGTGAAACCCCATCTCTACTAAAAATACAGAAAAATTAGCCAGGTGTGGTAGCGGGCGCCTGTAATCCCAGCTACTTGGGAGGCTGAGGCGGGAGAATCGCTTGAACCCGGGAGGCAGAGGTTGCAGTGTGCTGAGACTGCGCCACTGCACTCCAGCCTGGGCAACAAGAACAAAACTCCGTCTCAAAAAAAAAAAAAATCATTGAATCCTCACAACTCTATAAGTAGATTCTAATAATACTCTCATATTATAGCTGAGGAAACTGGGGCAGATAGAAGTGAGGTGACTTGCACAAGGTCACACAGTGAGTGAGTGATAGAGTAAGGATTTGAACTCAAGCATTCTGGCACTTTTTCTTTTTTGAGACTGAGTCTCGCTGTATCGCCCAGGCTGGAATGCAGTGGTACGATCTCAGGTCACTGCAACCTTCACCTCCTAGGTTCAAGCAATTCTCCTGCCTCAGCCTCCCAAGTAGCTAGGACTACAACAACCTCGAACTCCTGGGCTCAAGCAATTCTTCCACTTCAGCCTCCCAAGTAGCTAGGACTACAAGCATGCACCACCAAACACAGCTAATGTTTTGTTTTGTTTTGCTTTGTTTTGTTGGCAGAGATGGGAGTCTTGCTATGTTGCCCAGGCTGGTCTTGAACTTCTGGCCTCAAGCAGTCCTCCTCCTTGATCTCCCAAAGTGCTCGGATTACAGGCAAGAGCCACAATGCCTGGCTTGAACTGCAAAATTCTTAAAAATGGGGATCATTTCTTATTCTTTATTCTAGTGTCCATGATTCCTAATCATAGTGTAGGCACATAATAAATGCTAAATAAATTTTAAAAAATAGTTTTACTTTACTTTTCAGTCTTCTGAAACCAGCAGTTCTGACCCTATCATCTAAGTATAGTTTGGCTATTTTTCCCTCAATAAATAATTGTGTACTTATCACATGTAATCATTGACCACTTTTCTGGCTAGTCACATGGCTTCGCAAAATGTTTCTGCAGTTGAACATCTATCAGCTTGCCTTTCTATTTCCCCAAAGTAATTCCTAGATATTTTACTGTACAGTTTTTCTTTAGTATTGTTTTGAAAAGATCTTAATACTGATCCTTGAAGCAATCTTTAGAGAACTGTTCCATTTACCTGACTCTCTCCAAGAGGTGTTCCATCTACTCCTTCTCCTTGTTTCTGATATCTTAGCCAGTTTCCTATCCATCATAATACAATGTGTCCATCCTCATTCTCTCTTTCTCAAATTGTATTTAGTGAAGAACCATGTTTACCACTTTTTGAAAGCTGAAACAGATCATGTTACTGCTTCTCTTTATTTAAAACATCCCATTATGGCAGGCACAGTGGCTCATGCCTGGAATCGCAGCACTGTGGGAGGCTGAGGTGGAGGATCACTTGAGCCCAGGAGTCCAAGGCATGACTGGGCAACATAGTGAGATCTCGTCTCTACAAATAATTAAAAAAAAAAAAAATTAGTCAAGTGTGGTGGTGCATGTCTGTAGTCCCAGCTACTCAGGAAGCTGAGGCAGGAGGACCACCTGAGCCCAAGAGGTCGAGGCTGCAGTGAACTGTCATAGTGCCACTGTACTCCAGACTGGGGGACAGAGCAAGACCCTGTCTCAAAAATAAATAAGTACATTGGGTGTGGTGGCTCACGCCTGTAATCCCAGCACTTTAGGAGGCCGAGGTGGGTGAATAACTTGAGCTCAGGAGTTGGAGACCAGCCTGGGCAACATGGTGAAACCCCGTCTCTATGAAAAATATGGCTAATAAAAACATTAATCAGGTGTGGTGACACACACCTGTAGTCCCAGCTACTTGAGGGGCTGAGACAAGAGGATCACTTGTACTCAGGAGGTCAAGGCTGCAGTGAGCCAAGATCGTGCCACTGCACTCCAGCCTCGGTGACAAAGTAAGACCCTATGTCATAAATAAATAAATATAAAAACATTCCATTATATTATTATGATATCTATCAGTTTGCTCAGTCATTTAATGAACACTTACTGACCACTGTGTGTCATGCACTAGACAAAGCATTAAAAAAACATTAAAGACACATGCATGCATGTGTTCACTGCAGCACTATCCATAACAGCAAAGAGATCGAATCAACCTAAATGCCCATCAATGGTAGACTGGACAAAGAAAATGTGGTGCATATACACCATGGAATACTTTGCAGCCATGAAAAAGAACAAGATCATGTCATTCGCAGGAACGTGGATGCAGCTGGAGGCCATTATCCTTAGCAAACTAACAAAGGAAGAGAAAACCAAATACCACATGTTCTCACTTATAAGTGGGAGCTAAATAATAACACATAGACACACAGAGGAGAACAGACACTGGGGCCTACTTAGGGTGGAGGTTGAGAGGAAAGAATCAGGAAAAATAACTAATGGGTACTAGGCTTAATACCTGGGTGACGAAAAAATCTGTAGAACAAACCCACATGACACTGTTTACCTATATAACAAACCTATACATGTACCCCTGAACCTAAAATAATAGTTAAATGAAAGAAAATAAGAAATAAAATATATGTTCTTTGACTCAGAAGAGCTCAAAGTGAAGTAGAAGGAGGAGACATAAGTGAGAAAGCATATAGAAAAAAAAAGTTATTTATAATGATTCAGGGCTTGGAATTTTAAGTCACACAGACCTGGATCGAAATCTTCACTTAAAGAGTTGTATAATGCAGAAGTCAAGGTTTCCTCATTTCTGAAATGGGGATAATAACCATTTCATCTCTTCCTTTTTACAAGGGGACAAGATACAGTGCTTAGCTTGGCAATACATGGGAATACATTACAGGCAATCTGTAAATGATGTATAATATAGACAATAAGAGAACATCTATCCTAGGTAAAGCCTGCTTCCTGGAGGAGCTAACTGTTGAACTGAGTCCTAATCAATGGCTAGGAAGTAGAAAGAATCCAGATAGAACTTTAGAGAAAGATTAAGTTTCCATACTAACACTAAAGACTCCATAATCTGATCTCCACCTACTCAGGTTACTACTCAGCTACCTCTTCTCTCTTGAATCTCCTAAAGGAAACTTTCCTTCTGTCCAGGCTGGTTTACTCACTAACCTCAGAATATGCTCTGCTTATTTTCTTCTCTCTATTATTGCTTAGGCCATACTCATCCCTGACTCTGGCCCTAGCCTAAAGCCTGTCCATTCCAGAAGACCCACAAGTTCCACGTTCTTTTAATTGACCATTTTAATGGTTCTCAGCAGTGTCTGCATTCTTGAACTTTCCCAACACAGGGTCAGATTACCATGCTCCTTTCCGCACTTCCTTTGCCCTCCCACTAACTACCTCCTCATCATTTTCCTTAACTATCTGCACCTTTGCAGTGAGATTTAATTTTTCATATGTGAACATCATATCTCTATTGGATTGTAAACTCCATGAAGGCGAGACTTTGTGTAAGCAAGAGAAAATAGGGCAAGGATATAGCATTTAGCCTCACATCTATTTGATATGTGAAGAAAGGAATAGATCAGAAAACTGCTAGCAACAGTTTCAGTTAGCATGAAACCCAAAGCCTATGACAGGTCTACAAGGCTTAAATGATAGAACTTAATGGGGCATCTTGATTTTAGGTACTCACCTTGATATGCCCTCAGCTCTATCAAGAGCAAGCAATAAAAACTTTCCACTGTAGGTTGTATTAGTCATTTAAGATGCCTCAAATGCTTCTGGGAATAAGGCATGATATAATAAAATAAAGGTCAGGGGAAAGGTTGGCAGTCAACTTCTTAAACATGGCTACTGCAGTGGAAAGTAGTATATGGTATAGCAGAATTAACACACCTGGGTTAAAAATCCTTTGAAATTTACTGGCATTAGAAACTGGGCAAGTCCTTAACCTCCCCAAGGCAATTTCCCAATCTAATAATGTGGATTAAATATTTATTACTCAGGGTTGCTGTGAAGATTAAATGAGTATGTATGTATGTATAGTATATATACAGTATATATATGTATGTATAGTATATATACAGTATATATACAGTATATATGTATGTATAGTATATATACAGTATATATATGTATGTATAGTATATATACAGTATATATATGTATGTATAGTATATATACAGTATATATATGTATATATAGTAACTAGCACACTACCGGAAAGACAATACCTCCTTTAGTATTCATTATTAAAACACTGCCATCAACCCATCATCTTTTCCAAGGCCTTTAAAGAAAGTAAGAAAATAAATATTCTCTTCCCTCTTTAAAGATGGCATATCAGGAGTAACTTGCTGAAACCCATTGAGGACTCGGACCTAAAAACAAGATTCCTAATCATAGTACTCAATGTACAGTAAGGTTGTCTTTATGGCCAATCTCTTACCTGTTGCAGTGCAAAAAAACATATTAAACAGTCTTGTCACACTTTTTAGAGTAACTGAGTTTTGAGACGCATTAAGAGACTTTCAATTTGATAAAGAAAAAGTGAGAGCCTTAGATACTATAATCAAGCTGGACTCCTGTAGAAAAAAACAAGATTCCACTAAAGATAAAAGGTAAACTGTTCAACCCTTGAAGACATTTGAGATTGTAGCCACTGCCTTTGTAATTCTTCAGCTCATACTATTAGTCTAAAATGGCAGGAAATAAAAACAAAACGAAGTTCCAAATGGTAGGAAACATAAAATAACATAAATAATCATAAAATGAGCCAAAGAATGAACTCTTAGAGATGGAAGAGACCTCTGAAGTCATCTAGCCCAAGTCCCTTCTTACAGTTGAGAAAGCAGACAACAGGAGAGATTCCATGCTATTAGGTTGGTGCAAAAGTAATTGCGGTTCTGCCATTGAAAGTAGTGGTACTTATGGCTGGGCGGGGTGGCTCACGCCTGTAATCCCAAAACTTTGGGAGGCCAAGGCAGGTGGATCACTTGAGGTCAGGAGTTTAAGACCAGCCTGGTCAACGTGGTGAAACCCTGTCTCTACTAAAAATACAAAAATTACCCGGGCATGGTGGCAAATGCCTGTAATCCCAGCTACACAGGAGGCTGAGGCAGGTGAATTGCTTGAACCTGGGAGGCAGAGGTTGCAGTGAGACAAGATCGTGCCACTGCACTCCACCCTGGTGACAGAGTGAGACGCGTCTCAAAAAAAAGAAGAACAAAAGAAAGTAATTGTACTTTTGCACCAACCTAATACATGTCAAGCTTCTTTTGCCTCTTCACTCTGTTGTCATAATTTCCCCAAGATTTCATTACTTCCCTTGCAGTAAGCAGATCAGTCAGGAACAGGTTCGACTGCCTTATAATATGGGCCCAAACACTGGAAATATCCACAATTCTTGTCCCTGACAGAACACAAAGGGGGAATGGTACACATGTTCTCGGATCTGATTAAACATCAGGTTCCTGAGTACACAGCTATACAAACACAAAGAGTGGGCAATGCTGCCTACAAAAGAAATGCATACTTAGAGGATTTTCATATTTCTTCCATAGATAGAAAGATCCTTATGGGACCATCAAAATTATGTGGAAGTTTCTAGTGGTGATTAGTTTCTAGTGGTATTTTGAGACAGTCTCCTCCCTATATATCTTCATGATGATACCATGAAGAAAAGCTGAATTAGACCCTGAGAAGAAGAGTATCACATACTAGGAAACCAGTTCTGGTAAGTGATTAACATGAACTTGAAACCTTTCTTTGTTAACTGAACCAACCAAATTTCAAATGACTGTTTTCACCCAAGTTCATTCCTAAACTTGAGGCTTTACTCTCCCAGTAAGTTCACTGACTTATATAATTAATACATGGAAATGCTTATGAAAATTTAGGAAGCCACTGAGTGAATAAATACATTCATTTGTAATAAATATGTGATACAGAAATCAAACCATTTTTGGGTGAAATATATTAGCTAGATATAATTATTCCCTTTAATTAGTCCTTGAAGCTTGTCCGAATGCCAATGTTTTGGGAAAATACTAACACTAGGAAATTTATGACTACAAATGCCAAAAAAGATGAAGTGATATTATACTGAATTTTAAAAAGATTTCATCTTTAGAACAAGAGATAATATCAGGGTCCTGCTCTGCTTTAGACAGGAGATCTGAAAATACTTTGGATGCCAGAGCAAAAGGACTATGTCAAAGTACATTAAATTCTTAAGCAAAAGGCAAGAATCAAATCTCAAACATCTCAAGAGGTAGTAAAATAACCGAAGATATTTAGGATAAAGAAGAAAGAGGCAAAACAGGAGCAGAACAACTAGAGCCTTTAAATAAATACTTGCACAGCAATCAGAAAAGGAACTAGCATTGTTTTAATTGGTCCTAAGAGAACAAGTTATCAATGGATGAAAAGTACAAAAAAACAGATTTTGATTGAAAAGTAACTTTCTATGTTAGCCTCAAAAGTCAATAAATATTAACAGTGAGTGAAGGATACATTTATATAAAATAGCAAAAAAATGAATCCAAGAAACTTGGGCATACCAAATGAGCCTTTGACAAAAGTTTAGGCGCACATATGGAGCATGACACTAATCCATTAAGATTAGTGATAGGCCAGGCATGATGGCTCATGACTGTAATCCCAGCACTTTGGAAGGCCAAGGCAGGAGGACTGCCTGAGTTCAGGAGTTCAAGACCAGCCTGGGCAACAAAGTGAGACCTCGTCTCTAAAAAAAAAAAAATATTAATAATGGTATTAGTGATGAGTTATATTCCGATAAGTAAAACCAACTTCCAATTTTTAATAATAGAAAGGAAGGCAGGGCACAGTGGCTCACACCCGTAATCCCAGCACTTTGGGAGGCAGAGGTGGGTGGATCATTTAAACTCAGGAGTTTAAATGAGACCAGCCTGGGCAACGTAGTGAAACATCGTCTCTACCAAAAATACAAAAAAATTAGCCGGGCGTGGCAGTGCACACCCATGGTATCGGTTACTCAGGAGGCTGAGGTGGGAGGATTGCTTGAGCCTAAGAGGGAGAGGCTGCAGTGGGCTGAGATCGTGCCACTGCACTCTAGCCTGGGCAACAGAGTGAGACCCTGTCTCAAAAAAAAAAAAAAGAAAAGAAAAAGAAAGAAAGAAAAGAAAAGAAGACACAAAGTATGGATAATTCTGAAAGTTATATTTTATAAAGAATAATCTATCCATGATTAAGCTACTGCAGAACTGCAGATGAGAAAAGGTGATGGACTGTCCTAGGTAGTGGCAAGGGAAACAGGAGTGAAAGAATTTCAGGAACATTTCAGAGATGGAGCTCAGAGTACTTGATGATTTATTAGAGACTCTTGGAATACAGTATTAGTAGGATTTACTGTGTCAGTTTAGCTATTTATCCATTAACAGTAACAATAGTAGGAAACACATACTGTTTACCATAGGTCAAGCAATGTTGTAAACATTTTACATGGATTAACTCATTTCATTCTCACAACACTATGAAGTATATTTATAACCATCCCCATTTTAGAGATGATAAACTAAGGCTTACATCAGTTAAGTTAGCCAATAAGTATCAAGAATCAGTAAGAGGTTAGATACAAGATTTAGACCCAGATACTGTAATTCCAAAGCTAAAGAGCTCTTAATTGATCAACTAAATAGTTGTAAAGGAAAGTAAACAAAGTCGAAAGCAGGCAGAATGTAGTAATGTCAAGAGCCCGGTTTAATGAAGAGCCACAGTGG
The DNA here is from genome assembly GCF_000001405.40 of Homo sapiens. Classification (NCBI taxonomy): domain Eukaryota; kingdom Metazoa; phylum Chordata; class Mammalia; order Primates; family Hominidae; genus Homo; species Homo sapiens. The sequence continues at coordinate 70,416,187 of NC_000014.9, forward strand.
GGGAAGAGGATAGCAGTTTGGCTGCTCAAAATCACATGAGGTGTTCATAAAAAATAAATAAATAAATAAAATAAATCTGTATTAAATCCAAATCCCTGCAGATGGGAGATAAGATTTAACTTTTTATTTTCTTTTTTTTTTTTTTTTTTAAAGCCCTGGGTAATTTTGTGGCGGAACCAAGTTTGGGAACCTGTGTAATAAAAGATTTCTAAGGGCTCTTCCTGCTTTAACATTCTAGTTGACATTGTAAATGAAGTTCCCAGAAATCAAAGGAGCGAGGGAGGGATCCTAGCTGCAGGAAAACGGCTATGCATTCAGAGTCCACACCGTTTATGCTCCCATTTTACTAAACGGTCCCTCATAGGGGGAGGGATAGAACAGGCAACGGAAAGAAGGATGTGGTATCCACGATAAGCAGGCTAAAAAAGCAGGCTTTTAAAAAGGCTTTTCTAGCACGATTTGCACAAAGAACCCCTTCTTGACTATATATATTTGTGTTCATCCAACTGGATTTTGAGGTGGATTCCTCAGACCCGTATCTGGCTAATGATGGATTTCAATATATTTTCTCTAAGCACCCCGAAGCGTTGCACGAAACCTCTAGGTTGTGGCCTGCCCGCCCCGAGGCCAGGTGAATCCGGCTCAGCAGCAGAGGTGTCTGCAATTACACCCTCTAATCCCCTACTGTCAGATATGACCCTTTCCGCACATACCTGAGGGCCCTCTGGTAAGATTGATCTCTTCCTCAGTGACCAAATAATCCACTCTTCCGTTCATGTTTTACAGCTCGTCTGGCTTCCTACTTGGGTCAGCTGGAGTGCAGCACAGGTGAAGGTGAATCAATCTCGGCGCTGCGCCCACAGCACAGCGGTTTCGGTTTCAGCAGCCTCGAGACCCGGAAAAGGAAGCCCGAAGGACTCGGAGCACTGGGAATGCTGGGAATCGTGGTTCCTACCGCCAATGGATTGCAGTTTCTCACCGGTTCCCAAAGCCAAGCATGAGGTGAGCAAGGGGCAAGTTACCATTCTAATTTGCCATTGGAAGCAAGTGGGAAGGGGGTGGCTAGTAAAAGTAAGGGACCTAAATAAATTGATATTGTCGAGAAAAAAAATTTTAAAAAAATCTCCTGCCATCCTAGAAAATCTCCACAAATGTAGAAAAGAAAAAAAAGGTGTATTATTCTGTAAGCATCGAACCAGACCGGAATGGGTGTTACAGGCAATCCACTAATGAGATTGCAAAGAGAGACAAAAATCTCACATTTTATGTAGCCAAAGCACACGCATCTTCTCATGTAAGACGAGTTAACATGGTTTGGTATTCAATTTTTGGTAGTTCACCGTTGGAGTGGCCGCCTGTGTTGGTTAATTGCCTTTATCCAAAGGAAAAATAAAACGTTATCTCTGTGACAAACAGGTACTTACGGCTTGGAGCAAGGCGCTTCGGGTAACTCCCGCGAGCCTGGAACATAGGGGCACTGTCTACCTTGATACTTAAATTTCAAGGAGTTGGCTCCCGGGACCTGACGAAAACAATTCCTGGGTTTTATCTGACAAGAGGCTTATTTAGCTTTTAAAAAGATACACACACACACACACACTACACACGGATTATAATTACAATTTGCTCAAGAAAATGTTTTAAGAAAGGGGGGTGGGGGAATGTCTCATTCTTTTGGCAACTGGGAAAATTCAATCTTTTTAATGTTTTAACTCTTACAATAAGGTTAACGCATGGCTTAGGTATAACTTTAGGCCAGTCTTCCTGACTTTTGGAATGAGACATTCCAAACTGAACTTGAATGAAACTTCAGGGGTCAAAAACACAAAAGCCTAAAGAGCCAGGAAGGTGACAACCTTGTGAAGCAACCTGGAGTTAGACCACAGGGATTGGTGGGGATCTTAGAGGACTAGAAAGTGCAAGGCCAATGTAAAGACATTTAAATTTAGAGTAAAAAACCAAAGCAGCAGCTACTATGTTTACCAAACAGAAGGAGATAGGGGCAGATTCGGCAGGAAGACCTCTTATTTGCTCACTCTGAGAGAAGTTAAGATGGAATAGTGGAGGCTGAGCACAGTGGCTCACGCCTGTAATCCCAGCACTTTGGGAGGCCGAGGCGGGTGGATCACCTGAGGTCAGAAGTTCAAGACCAGCCTGGTCAACATGGTGAAACCCTGTCTCCACTAAATATACAAAAAATTAGCTCGGTGTGGTTGCAGGTACCTATAATCCCAGCTACTCGGGGGGCTGAGGCAGAAGAATCGCTTGAACCCGGGAGGCGGAGGTTGCAGTGAGCCGAGATTGCACCATTGCACTCCAGCCTGGGCAACAAGAGCGAAACTTTGTCTCAAAAAAAAAAGATGGGATAGTGGAAATAACACAGATTATGACTTACAACTTGGGCTCAAGTTTCCATTCCATTCCCTTAAACTTGTCTGTCTTTGAGCAAGGAATCCAACATCTCTGAACTCTGTTTCCCCATCTTAAAATGGGATTGATAGTAGCTCTTCATATGTTGGTTGGATGAGTGAATAAAATGATCATTATAAAAGGCAGAGAATGATAAATTAAAAAAATGTGTAATATAAATAAATGACATTGGGGGCTGGGCGGGGTGGCTCACACCTGTAATCCCAGCACTTTGGGAGGCCAAGGTGGGCAGATCACTTGAGGTCAGGAGTTCCAGAGCAGCCTGGCCAACATGGTGAAACCCCATCTCTACTAAAAATACAAAAAAATTAGCTGGGCGTGGTGGCGCAGGCCTGTAGTCCCAGCTACATGGGAGGCTGAGGCAGGAGAATCACTTGAACCCAGGAGGCGGAGGTTGCAGTGAGTGGAGATCGTGCCACTGCACTCTACGCTGGGTGACGGAGCAAGACTCCATCTCAAAAAATAAATAGATAAAATAAAATAAATGACATTGGAATGTCAAGAGAGAAAAGATCAAATAGAAATGGGGGGAAAATCAAGAAATCATCAATGAGGAGATTTGTAAGGAAAAAAACACAAGGTTTCTTTTAGACCACTGTGGGGACGGTGGTGGGGGAATCACCTCTCAGTACCTGGGAAAATTGTCCTTTTCATCTGAACACACAGCTTCAAAAGAAATACATAGGGCAGTGAAAGAAAAAAGTATCCTAAACAAGTTGAGGAAATGCTGGTAATAAGTAGAGTGAGAGATGGGATATGTAAATTGCCTTTATTCCCTAATAGAAGTATAGGAATAATGGTGTCAGAGGCTTTTGAACTGGAGCGACTCCATCTTGAATAGGGGCTGGGTAAAATAAGGCTGAGACCTACTGGGCTGCATCCCCAGGAAGTTAGGCATTCTAAGTCACAGGATGAGATAGGTCAGCACAAGGTACAGGTCACAAAGACCTTGCTGATAAAAGAATGTGGTAAAAAAGCCAGCCAAAACCCACTAAAATCAACGTGGTGATTAAAGTGACCTCTGGTCATCCTCACTGCTCATGATATGCTAATTATAATGCATTAGCATGCTAAAAGACACTCCTGCCAGCGCCATGACAGTTTACAAATGCCATGGCAACATCAGGAAGTTACCCTATATGGTCTGAAAAGGGAAGGAACCCTCAGTTCCAGGAATAGCCCACCAATTTCCCCTAAAACTCATGAATAATCCACCCCTTGTTTAGCATATAATCAAGAAAAAACCATAAAAATAGCCAACCAGCAGCCCTCGGGGCTGCTCTGCCTATGGAGCAGCCATTCTTTATTCCTTTACTTTCTTCATAAACTTGCTTTCACTTTACTCTATGGACTTGCCCCAAATTCTTTCTTGCACAAGGTTGAAGAACCCTCTGTTGGGGTCTGGATCAGGACCCCTTTCCAGTAACAATGGAAGAACAAGGAAGCTAGCTGGGCGTGGTGATATGCCTGTAGTCCCAGTTACTCTAGAGGCTGAGGCGGGAGGATCATTAGAGCTCAGGGGTTTGAGGCTGCAGTGAGGTGTGATTGAAGCACTGCACTCTAGCCTGGGTAACAGAGCAAGACCCCATCTCTACTAAAAAATAATAAAAGTAAATAAATTAAAAAAAAAAATGAGGGAGCTTTAATATGTAGGAAAGCAAATGACAGAGAAAATGAGATCCTACTCAGAGGAAACAATTGAGAAAAATTATGGAATCAGGCCGGGTGCAGTGGCTCACCCCTGGAGTGTAGACTTTACTTCGTGGTCCAAGATGCTTAAGATGGATTTTGGAACTTCAACCATCATATCTACATTCCAGGAAGGTAATGAAGGAAGGGCAAAGAAGACCTCCTGGAAATGTCATAGACTTCTTGTAATCTCAGGGATAGAAATGTGCCAACCATAAAAATCAAGGTTATTATTATTAACTGAAAGTGGGAGAATGGATATTGGGAGGCCACTGGCAGTCTCTGACACAAGAAGTGACACTTTCTGTCTGAACTAACCTTTCTGCTTATGACCTTGAGTTATGTAAAAAATGTAGAATGTAGTGGAAACTTCAATCTACCATTTACAAAATTAGTGGAAACCTTGCCTCACCTTAATCACACCTTGCTCTATTTTTGCACATTTCCTGTCATATATTCACTTTGTCTTTTTAATCTCTCTTGTCTGCTTCAGTCCCCTCCTACTTCAGTATTTTATTCTATCAGCCTCTTTGATGACCAACTCATGAATATGTTTGTATTTGGGACTTATCCACCTCTCCTTTGACATAGCATTTGTTCCAACTTTTTGCCCTTACCTATTTAGTTTCAAATTCCTGCATATTTTATTTTTTCTATGCTTCCTTAGGTGACAAAACTCTTTTGTGATTGACACACTTTTTTCTTTGTTGTATTATTATTACATTTAATCAGACGATATTAGTTTGTTAATGTTACTGTAACTAATACTACAGATTGTGTAATTTGAACAATGAAAATGTATTTTTTCACAGCTGTGGAGTCTGGAAGTCCAAGATCAGGGTGCAGGTAGAGTTGGTTTCCTCAGAGGCTTCTTTCCTTGGCTTGCAGATGGCCATATCTTCTACCTCTGTCTTCACATGGTCTTTCCTCTGTGTGCACACATGTCTGTTTCCAAATTTCCTCTTCTTATAAGGACATCGTTCATATTAGATTAGGGCCCACCGTAATGACCACATTTTAACTTACTTACCTCTTTAAAGACCTTTTCTCCAAATATGGTTACATTCTGAGGTACTTCAGCAGATGAATTTTGCAGGCATACAACACAGCCCATAACACAGATTACAGTGAAGTCACAGCCTTTGGCATTGCATATCTCTGCTCTGGCCCATTACTTGTTGATTTTAAAGTTTAGACCTGATAGCAGTATTATTGCTTTAATTTTCAAGTTCTTGCTGCAAGTTGCACTGCTGACCCCAGCTATTGATGACAGCAGATAGCCACAAGGCATTTACAATTATTTTATCTTCTATTGTCCTTTTTGATTGGTACTCTTTATTCTTCTGTATATATATGCTATCTTTATAAGAAGTCTAATTCAGACCCCTGGCTCTAATGCCATTAATATGCCAGCTGTCATGTCTCTTCACTGAGCTTCAGTCTTGTGTAACCCAGTTGCCTACCTAACATCTCAAAATTTAGATGCCTAGCAGGCATCTTAAATTATGATAAAATGAGAATTTCTAACCCTTATACCCCTAAACTGATACCTCTCTTAGCTGTTCCCCTTCCTTGAGTAACTCAGTTTACTCAGTTCATATGAATATCTTAAGAACAGCTTTTGATTCCATTCTTTCCCTTGCATTCTACATTCAACCCATCAAAAGTATAGCTGTTGCTATGTATGAAATACAGTCTATCTGACCATCTCTGATACTACCAGCTTATTACAAACCACCAGTATGTATTGCCTCTACTTCTACTGTTCTTCCTGAATGTTTTTTCTGCTGCTCACTCGATATCTCCCATCTATTCTTCCCTCAGCTGGAGCAATCTTACAAAAATGTAAATCAGATCATGTCATGCCCCAATCTAAATATTTCAGTCATTTCCATCTCATGTAGAAAAAAATCGATATCCTTAACATTGCCTCTAAGACCAGATAATCTGGCTTTTGTCAAGCTCTCTAACTCGTCTACTACCACAACCCCCTTCCCTCATTCATTACATCTACACTGAACTTTTTTCTGTTTCTCAAACAAATACATTTGGTTTAGTTTAGATCTTTGCATTTGCTGTGCCATCTGCCCCACGGCTTCTTGTTCACTGCTTTATCTCCAGTACCTATAAGAGTTGCCAACACAAACTTGGCTTTCTTTTTGTTTATTTTTTTAAATTATTTTTTGTAGCAATAGGGTCTTGCTGTATTGCCCAGGCTGATCTAAAACTCCTGGCCTCAGGCAATCCTCCTGCCTCAGCCCCTGCAAAGGATTGGGATTATGGGTATAAGCCATCGTGTCTGGCCTTATAATAGGCTTTCAATGAATGAATGAATTTTAGTGATGATGAAACTTAAACTCAGTCACTTGCTAAAGATCACACTGCAGTTGTCATTTGCTGTCTCATCACCTGCTGCAGTCAATAGTGTACTAGTTCTACTGCCTGAATTCCTCTCAGCTGTTCTCACTGACATTGCTGATGCGCTCAAAATGAGTCACATACACCAGTGGAACAGAAGAGAAAGCCCAGAAATAAACCCATACATCTACAATGGACTAATTTTTTGACAAAGGTGCCAAGAACATACATTGGGGAAAAGACAGTCTCATCAATAAATGGTGCTAGGAAAACTGGACGTCCATATGCAGAAGAATGAAACTAGACCCCCTGTCTCTCAACATACATAAAAATTTAAAAAATGGATTAAAGACATATCTAGGACCTCAAACTATGAAACTACTACAAGAAAATATTGGGGGAAACTCTACAGGACACTGCTCTGGGCAAAAACTTCTTGAGTCATACCCCAAAAGCACAGGCAATCAAAGCAAAAATGGACAAATGGGATCACGTCGAGTTAAAAACCTTCTGCAAAGCAAAGGAAACTATCAACAAAATGAAGAGACAACCCACAGAATGGAAGAAAATATTTTCAAGCCACTCATATGACAAGGGATTAATAACCAGAATATGTAAGGAGCTCAAACAACTTTATAGTGAAAAAATCTAATATTTCAATTTAAAAAATGGACAAAATATCTGACTAGACCTTTCTCAAAAGAAGACATACTAATGGCAAACAGGTATATGAAAAGATGCTCCACTTTGGGAGGCCGAGGTGGGCGGATCACGAGGTCAGGAGATCGAGACCATCCCGGCTAACACGGTGAAACCCCATCTCTACTAAAAATACAAAAAATTAGCCGGGCGTGGTAGCGGGCGCCTGTAGTCCCAGTTACTCGGGAGGCTGAGGCAGGAGAATGGCGTGAACCCGGGAGGCGGAGCTTGCAGTGAGCCGAGATCGCGCCACTGCACTCCAGCCTGGGCGACAGAGCGAGACTCCGTCTCAAAAAAAAAAAAAAAAAAAAGAAAAGAAAAGATGCTCAACATCATCGATCATCAGCAAATGGAAACTATAATAAGATATCTTTTTACCCCAGTTAAAATGGCTTTTATCCGAAAGACAGGCAGTAACAAATCCTGGCGAGGATGTGGAGGAAAGGGAACACTTGTAACTTGGTGGGAATGTAAATTAGTACAACCACTATGGAGAAGAATTTGGAGGTTCTTCAACAAACTGAAGGTACAGTTACCATAAAATCCACTAATCCCACTGGTAGGTGTTTAGCCAAAGGAAATTAAATCAGTATATCAGAGATGTCTGCAATCCTGTGTTTATTGCAGCACTATTCATAATAGCCAAGATTTGGAAGCAACCTAGTGTCCATCAGCAGATGAATGGATAAGGAAAATAGTACTCCATTGTGTATATGTATTACACAACTCCGATCTCTATGGAACTTTTATGGTGTGCTACATTGTGTATATGCAAACCTATACAATGTATGCGTATACGCATACCCATACAATGTATGTGTATACATACACCCATACAATGTATGTGTATATGTATTACAGTGCTCAATTTTGTGTATATATATACATATACATACACATATACAGTGTACACATGTAAGTATATGCCCACATATACATATACATATGTCCACATATGTAATACATTGTATGTTCACATATATGTAATACATATGCAATGTATTTGTATGTATACATGCATGTATGCAATGTATTTGTATGTATACATGCATGTATGCAATGTATATGTATACATGCATGTATGCAATGTATATGTATACATGCATGTATGCAATGTATATGTATACATGCATGTATGCAATGTGTATGTATACATGCATGTATGCAATGTGTATGTATACATGCATGTATGCAATGTGTATGTATACATGCATGTATGCAATGTGTATGTATACATGCATGTATGCAATGTGTATGTATACATGCATGTATGCAATGTGTATGTATACATGCATGTATGCAATGTGTATGTATACATGCATGTATGCAATGTGTATGTATACATGCATGTATGCAATGTGTATGTATACATGCATGTATGCAATGTGTATGTATACATGCATGTATGCAATGTGTATGTATACATGCATGTATGCAATGTGTATGTATACATGCATGTATGCAATGTGTATGTATACGTGTATGTATACATGCATGTATGCAATGTGTATGTATACATGCATGTATGCAATGTGTATGTATACATGCATGTATGCAATGTGTATGTATACATGCATGTATGCAATGTGTATGTATACATGCATGTATGCAATGTGTATGTATACATGCATGTATGCAATGTGTATGTATACATGCATGTATGCAATGTGTATGTATACATGCATGTATGCAATGTGTATGTATACATGCATGTATGCAATGTATATATGTATGTATACATGCATGTATACATTGTATATGTATGTATACATACACGTATACGTGTATGTATACATTGTATATGTATGTATACATACACGTATACGTGTATGTATACATTGTATGTGTATGTATACATGCATGTATACGTGTATGTATACATTGTATGTGTATGTATACATGTATGTATACGTTGTATATGTGTGTATACATGTATGTATATGTATATGTATACAATGTACACGTATGTATAGAATGTACATATATGTAATACATATACAATTACATATATATGGACATACAATGGAGGTCATTATGTGTGACCTCCATGTTGCACTAAGCAACAAAGGTTGAGATTACAAAAGCTGCTTATAAATTAGAGCTTCTTCTTAAGAGAAAACACCCCTGGGAGCTGGCACAGTCAGACGAGGAGAGTCCTGCTTGTCACTTTGCATCTCAAGTTCCCAGCCTTTTGGCTGGCTGCCAGACATGACTTGACAATCATGTTCCCCAAGTGGCAGAGACCAGAGAGAGAGAACTTCTCACTTGGTTACAAAGCCAAGCTCTCAAGACATAAAACAAGATGAAATGAGAATCTTCATATGATTTTCCCCCTTATAACAAACTACCCCAAAAGACAAAAGGAAAGCAAAGATTAACTCTGGGGGGAAAAGATCAAATAGAAAACAAGACTACTCACAAACACCAAAGTCACTTTGCCCCCAAAACTAGTTCACATAAATATTTTCTCCTGCCAGTCTAAATTTAGAGAGGGAAAGAGGAAGAAAAGAGTCTTACCACTCTCACCTTGACCATTCTCCACAGGCAGAGATCCAGCAGACTGACAGTATTAAGAATTCTTACCTTTGCTGGCCTTTTGTCAGAGGGCCAGGATTTCAGGTGCAGCAGTTTCGAGCAAGCAGTGTTCCAGCCAGTGAAGGATGCCCCACGTTGGGCACCAAAATTTGTAGGGAATGTACGGATCACCTCCACCCATCTCTGACTGGGTCTAGGAATGATATTGATGCAAGATAGATTAAGAGGAGAAAAGGATACAAGTTTTATTACTTTTTACATGTACAGGGGGATCCTCACAAGAGAGTGAAGATCTGAAGAAATGGCCAAAACAGAAAGCTTTTATATTTTTTTAGATGAAGAACAATACGTCTATGAGGAAATGACAGGACAAAAGGATCTAGGCTAAGGGCAGTAATTCCAGGAAGGTCACTAGGAGATATACTGGGGAGGGGTAAACCTAGTAGAAGGTAAGGGTTATTAAGTTTATTTGTACAGGTCCATTGCAGCACCATTTCCAGTCTCTGGTAATAGGGTTACTGTCTTGTCCTAGTACAGGAAAACCATCTTCCTCTATGTGCTGAGACCAGCTCAGTCGTGGAGACCCTAACCCAGTGGTGCTGGAGGAATTAAAGACACACACACAAATACAGCATGTGGAGTGGGAAATCAGGGGATTCACAGCCTTCAGAGCTGAGAGCCCCAAGCAGAGTTTGACCCACATATTTATTGACAGCAAGCCAGTGATAAGCATTATTTCTATATATTATAGATTAACTAAAAGTATTCCTTACGGGAAACAAAGGGATGGGCCGAAACAAAGGGATGGGCTCTGGCTAGTTATCTGCAGCAGGAACATGTCCTTAAGGCACAGATTGCTCATGCCATTGTTTGTGGTTTAGGAACGCCTTTAAGCAGTTTTCCACCCTGGGTGGGCCAGGTGTTCCTTGCCCTCATTCCAGTAAATCCACGACCTTCAGTGTGGGTGTCATGGCCATCAAGAACATGTCACAGTGCTGCAGAGATTTTACTTATGGCCAGTTTTGGGGCCAGTTTATGGCCAGATTTGGGGGCCTGTTCCCAACATCTATGGAACTTTTTTTTTTCTCTTTTCAACAGAGTCTCACTCTGTTACTCAGGCTGGTGTACAGTGGTGTGATCTCAGCTCACTGCAACCTCCACCTCCCAGGCTCAAGCAATTCTCATGCCTCTGCCTCCTGAGTAGCTGAGATGATAGGCATGTGCTGCCACACCTGGCTAAATTTTTTTTTTTTTTTTTTTTGAGACAGAGTCTTACTCTGTCACCCAGGCTGGAGTGCAGTGGTGCAATCCTGGCTTACTGCAACCTCTACCTTCCAGGCTCAAGCAGTTCTCCAATTCTCCTGCCTCAGCCTCCCGAGTAGCTGGGATTACAGACATGCACCACCATGCCTGTATATTTTTTATAAAATATTAATTGTATTTTTATATACATTTATATGTATGTTTTAAATAAAATATTATATTGTATGTTTTATATATAAAAATATAAAAAATAATTTTTATATTTTTAGTAGAGATGGGGTTTCACCATGTTGGCCATGCTGGTCTTGAACTCCAGACCTCAAGTGATCCACCCACCTCGGCCTCCCAAAGGAATTCTTATATTTTTAGTAGAGATGGGGTTTTGCCATGTTGGCCAGGCTGGTCTTGACCTCCTGGTCTATATGGAAATTTTATGGTTTGCTACATGTGGAAAACAGCAGGTCAAATGGCTGTTACTGCAAATGCAGTTTTTGAAGTGCTTTCAGCTTGAAATAATCAATATGCCAATTTGGCATATTTTGGGGTGGCATATCCTTAACTCCTTCACATAACAACCTGGACCCACAGCAAGGTCATTTCTTGTTTTGGGCCCTACTCAAAGATGATCACTTCATTATTGTCTAGTGTATGGGCCAGAGTAGTATTCATAGGTGTGAAATGTTTGCTTCAACAACCCATGGAGGCATATAGCAGGCACCACCTTTTTCTTTGTGCTAGGGAATGCAAAATGCGGCAATTTGCCTTTACTTCAAGGGTATATCCCACCATGGTTTTAACCACTGTACCCTTAAATACTCTAATAAAGTATCATGTCCCCAAATCTTTCCTACCCCTGGAATGCATATCTCTTAATAAGACCTCCAGTGAACCAACAATGCAGCCCCATCAGCATGATACTCAATGAAGTGAATCCGTATAAGGTTTTCTGTATGTTCAAACAGTCTAGATTTCCTCAGATTATATTATGCCAGAGGCAGGTGAAATAACATAGCCCTGGAGGCAAGCCTATAAATAAATATTTGTGTCCACGCTATATGAGTGCAGATTTTTTTCTGATGGCTCTTTTATTATCAGAATAGAAAATAACACATTTTCAGTTCATTGGTTGCATCCTATGCACCCAAGACCGTATTAATCTGATCCAGCATGTTAACTTCTCTGGTGGAGAGGCTAAAATGAGAGCACATAACATATGCTTTACTATGAAGTTGTATTATCAGGATTAGGCTAGCCTCAGAATATGAATTTGGAATCTTGTTTCTTTTTTTTTTTTTTTTAGTTTTAATTTTAGGTTTGGGGGTACATGTGTACGTTTGTTACACCGATACACGTGTCACGGGGGTTTGTTGTACATATTATTACATCACTCAGGTATTAAGCCCAGGACCCAATAGTTATCTTTTCTGCTCCTCTCTCTCCCAGCCTCCCCCGTCAAGTATTCCCCAGTGTCTGTTGTTTCCTTCTTTGTGTTCATAAGTTCTTATCATTTAGCTTCCACTTATAAGTGAAAACACATGGTATTTGGTTTTCCGTTCCTGCGTTGGTTTGCAAAGGATGATAGCCTCCAGCTCCATCTATGTTCCCACAAAAGACACGATCTCATTCTTTTTTTCTGGCGCAAAATATTCCATGGGGTATATGTGCCACATTTTATTTATCCAGTCTGTCACTAATGGGCATTTAGCTTGATTCTATGTCTTTGCTATTGTGAACAGTGCTGCAATGAACATTCACGTGCATGTGTCTTTATGGTAGAATGCTTTACATTCCTCTGGATATATACTCAGTAATGGGACTGCTGAGTTGAATGGTGGTTCTGCTTTTAGCTCTGTGAGGAACCGCCATACTGTTTACCACAATAGTTGAACTAATTCACACTCCCACCAACAGTGTATAAGGGTTACCTTTTCTCCACAACCTCACCAGCATCTGTTACTTTTTGATTTTTTTTCCTGAAAGTTTTAATTTTTCTAATTTTTATTTTACTTTCAGTTCTGGGATATATGTGCAGAATGTGCAGGTTTTTTACATAGGTATACATGTGCCATGGTGGTTTGCTGCTCCTATTAACCGATCATCTAGATTTTAAGCCCAGCATGCATTAGGTATTTGTCCTAATGCCCTCCCTCCCCTTACCCGCAACCACCCAACAGGCCCCAGTGTGTGATGTTCCCCTCCCTGTGTTCTCATTGTTCAACTTCCACTTATGATTGAGAACATGCAGTGTTTGGTTTTCTGTTCTTGTGCTAGTTTGCTGAGGATGATGGTTTCCAGCTTCATCCATGTTCCTGCAAAGAATATGAACTCATTCTTTCTTATGGCTGCATAGTATTCCATGGTGTATATGTGCCACATTTTCTGTTTCCAGTCTATCATTGATGGGCATTTGGGTTGATTTCAAGTCTTTGCTATTGTGAATAGTGCTGCAGTAAACATATGTGTGCATGTGTCTTTATAGTAGAATGATTTATAATCCTTTGGATATATACCCAGTAATGGGATTGCTGTGTCAAATGGTATTTCTGCTTCTAGATCCTTGAGGAATTGCCACACTGTTTTCCACAATGGTTGAACTAATTTATACTCCTACCAACAGTGTAAAAGCAATCACATTTCTCTACATCCTCTCCAGCATCTATTGTTTCCAGACTTTTTAATGATCACCATTCTAACTGGTGTGAGGTGGTATTGATTTTTTTGTGGTTTTGATTTTCATTTCTCTAATGACCAGTGATGATGAGCTTTTTTTCATGTTTGTTAGCCTCATAAATGTCTTCTTTTGAGATGTGTCTGTTTATATCCTTCACCCACATTTTGATGGGGTTATTTTTTTCTTAGAAATGTCTTTAGTTCCTTGTAGATTCTGGATATGAGGCCTTTTTCAGATGGATAGATTGCAGAAATTTTCTCCCATTCTTCAGGTTGCTTGTTCACTCTGATGATATTTTCTTTCGCTGAGCAGAAGCTCTTTAGTTTGATTAGATCCCATTTTTCAATTTTGCCTTTTGTTGCAATTTCTTTGGTGTTTTAATCATGAAGTCTTTGCCATGTCTATGTCCTGAATGGTACTGCCTAGGTTTTCTTCTAGGGTTTTTCTGGTTTTAGGTTTTACATTTAAGTCTTTAATCCATCTTGAGTTAATTTTTGTATACAGTGTAAGGAAGGGGTCCAGTTTCCGTTTTCTGCATATGGCTAGCCAGTTTTCCCAGCACCATTTATTAAATTGGGAATCCTTCCCCATTGCTTGTTTCTGGCAGGTTTGTCTAAGATCAGATGGTTGTAGATGTGTGATATTATTTCTGAAGCCTCTGTTCTATTCCATTGGTCTATATATCTGTTTTTGTACCAGTACCATGCTGTTTTGGTTATTGTAGCCTTGTAGAATAGTTTGAACTTGGGTAGCATGATGCCTCCAGCTTTTTTTTTTTTTTTTTTTGCTTAGGATTCTTGGCTATATGGGCTCTTTTTTCGTTCCATATGAAATTTAAGGTAGCTTTTTCTATTTCTGTGAAGAAAGTCAATGGTAGCTTGATGGGAATAGATTGAATCTATAAATTACTTTGGCAGCATGGCCATTTTTGTGATATTGATTCTTCGTATCCATGAGCATGGAATTTTTTTCCATTTGTTTGTGTCTTCTCTTATTTACTTGAGCAGTGGTTTGTAGTTCTCCTTGAAGAGGTCCTTCATGTCCCTTGTAAGTTGTATTCCCAGGTATTTTATTTTCTTTGTAGCAATTGTGAATGGGAGTTCACTCATGATTTGGCTCTCTCTGTTTGTCTATTATTGGTATATAGGAATGCTTGTGATTTTTGCACACAGATTTTGTATCCTGAGACTTTGCTGAAGTTGCTTATCAGCTTAGGAGTTTTTGGGCTAAGACTATGGGGTTTTCTAAGTATACAATCATGTCATCTGCAAACAGAGACAATTTGATTTCCTCTCTTCCTATTGAATACCCTTTATTTCTTTCTTTTGCCTAATTGCCCTGGCCAGAACTTACAATAATATCTTGAATAGGAGTTGTGATGAGGGCATCCTTGTCTTGTGCCAGTTTTCAAAGGGAATGCTTCCAGCTTTTGCCCTTTCAGTATGATATTGGCTATGGATTTGTCATAAATAGCTCTTATTATTTTGAGATATGTTCCATCAATGCCTAGTTTACTGAGTGTTTTTGAAGGTGTGTTGAATGTTATCGAAGGCCTTTTCTGCATTTATTGAGATAATCATGTGGTTTTCGTCACTGGTTCTGTTTATATGATGGATTTACGTTTATTGATTTGTGTATGTTGAACCAGCCTTGCATTCCAGGGATGAAGCTGACTTGATCATGGTGGATAAGCTTTTTGATGTGCTTCTGGATTCTGTTTGCCAGTATTTTATTGAGGATTTTTGCATCGATGTTCATCAGGACTGAAATTTTCTTTTTGTTGCATCTATGCCACGTTTTGGTATCAGGTTGATGCTGGCCTCATAAAATGAGTTAGGGAGGAGTTCCTCTTTTTCTATTGTTTGGAATGGTTTCAGAAGGAATGGTACCAGCTCCTCTTTGTACCTCTGGTAAAATTCAGCTGTGAATCCGTCTGGCCCTGGGCTTTTCTTGCTTGATAGGCTGTTAAATACTGCCTCAATTACAGAACTTTTTATTGATCTATTCAGGAATTCTACTTCTTCCTGGTTTAGTCTTGGGAGGGGATAAATTCCAGGAATTTATCCATTTCATCTAGATTTTCTAGTTTATTTATTGATTCTTTTCTCTTTTCTTGTTTATTAGTCTGGCTAGTGTTCAAGGGCAGGAAGCATCCAGCAGTGGAGAAAGGTGTGGCCTGGGAGGCTAGGCCAGTCTCTCTTTTCACATTTTCCTGCCTGTTTATATTCTATCAATGCTGGCAACTGATCAGATTGTGCCCACCCAGATTAAGGATGGGTGTGCCTTTCCCAACCCACTGAGTCATATGTTAATCTTATTTGGTAACACCCTCACAGACACACCCAGGATTAATACTTTGCATCCTTCAATCCAATCAAGTTGACACTCGGTATTAACGATAAGAAGACCACCCCTTGTCAACTTGAACCCATATACAACTCCTGAGATCATACATAATCTTCAAATAAAGACAATAGTAAGGTCATAGTTACCCCTAACATAACACAACTATTCTTCGTACAACCGGAAACGCACCAATCCCATACCCAAATACTATTATATAATGTTAACAATACTTAAATGCTGATATGAAGTCAATAAATCTTATGTCACAAGATAAAGGAGAAAGGAAATAAACTGAAGATGTTTTCTTAGTACAAGTGTATACATGCACAAACATGTTTTTAACAAAGAAGGAGGAAATACTCATGACGATTACAGTCCTCATTTCTATAGCTGATCACATGATCGTAACTGGTACTGATGACTTCCTTCTACCACTACCCATTCAGTATTCCTTTTGCCTTCAGCAAGCACCTCAGCAGGTCGCGTTTTTTTTCCTAGTGGAATGACCCAAGCCTTCATTCCTGAAGAGTCTGGGCTATCTGTGGTCCTGCCTGGATTGGGCTGTTGTAGTTTCCCATTGACCTGAATCACAGGGCATGGTAATACTAAGAGATGCCCTAATGGATCTCCTGTATTCTATGCATACTCTTCCTTCCCTTCATTGTGTGTTAGTAGACTGATTTCATCTTGATAGTCCAGGTCAATCATGCCAGCTAACACAGTAATTTTCTTCTTAGCCTGTTGACTTAAAGGTAGGAGGAGTCCAAAGTGTCCAGGTGGCAATCTTAACTTCCAGTTTAATGGAATTGTTGTGTCTCCTGGTGGCAGCATTCCTCCCTCTTGAACTAAGACCTCTAGGCCAGCAGAATGTAATGTCGTAGGAACAGGAAGCAAAAATTTTGCTAGTGGATCACTGGGGTGATGGATGGTGAGTGGTGCCACTTCCACTTCCACCCCTTGATTCCTGGACCAGTGAATCCTGGCTATAGGAGAAACAGTACCATATATTGGATGCTGACTCAGAGCATACACGGCCTTCTGGAGAACTTTGCCCAAAGCTTGCAAAGTCCTGTCACCTAGTAGGTGTTGTAATTGTGACTTCAAAAGACCATTTTACTATCAATCCAGCTGCTTCAGGATGATGGAGAACATGGTAAGACCAGTGAATTCCATGAGCATGAAACTACGCCACCACTTCTTTAGCCATAAAGTGAGTGCCTTGGTCAGAGGCAATGCTGTATGGAATACCATGATGGTGGATAAGGCATTCCATGAATCCACTGATGGTAGTCTTGGCAGAAGCATTGCATGCAGGATAGGCAAACCCATATCTGGAGAAAGTGTCTATTCTAGTGAGGACAAACCTCTGCTCTTTCCATGATGAAAGAGGTCCAATATAATTAACCTGCCACCAGGTAGCTGGCTGATCACCCCGAGGAATGGTGCCATATTGAGGGCTCAGTGTTGGTCTCTGCTGGTGGCAAATTGGGCACTCAGCAGTGGCCATAGCCAGAGCAGCCTTGGTAAGTGGAAGTCCATGTTGCTGAGCCCATACATAACCTCCTTCCCTGCCACCATGGCCACTTTGTTCATGGGCTTATTGGGCAATGACAGGAGTGGCTGGGGAAAGAGGCCAAGTGGTGTCCACAGAATGGGTTATCCTATCCACTTGATTATTAAAATCCTCCTCTTCCTCCTCTGCCGAGGTCACTCGTTGGTGAGCACTCACATGGGATACAAATGTCCTCACAGTTTTGACCACTCAGAGAGGTCTGTCCACGTACCTCTTTCCCAAATTTCTTTGTCACCAATTTTTCTGCCATGCTTCTTCGAAGTCCCTGACCATCCAGAGAAACCATTGCTACAGCCCATGAATCAGTATATAATTGCACATCTGGCCATTTCTCCTTCCATGTAAAGTGCACAACCAGGTGCACTGCTCAAAGTTCTGCCCACTGGGAAGACTCCTTTTCACTGCTGTCCTCCAGGGAAGTCCTAGAAAGGGACTGCAGTGCTACAGCTGTCCATTTTTGGGTGGTACCTGGATATCGTGCAGAACCATCTGTCAACAGGCCCTACGTAGTCTCCTCTTCCTCTGTCAACTGATCATAGGGAATTTCCCATGAGGCCGTCGGTGCAGGCTGCGGGAGAGGAGGCAGGGTGGCAGGAGTGGAGACCATGGGCATTTGAGCCACTTCCTCATGTAACTTACTTGTGCCTTCAGGACCTGCTCGAGCCAGTGTCCAGTAGTCCCCGAAATGTCTGATCATTTTCCCTTTCCCCAGTGCACAGTTACCCTGGTAAAAGGCTGGATTTGGAGATCTCCTTGGGGAAGGATGGGAGAAAGATTAACTGCATAAATTGTTGGTGATGTAGTGGGGTCCTTCCTCAAGGGGACTCAGCCTCCCCTTCATTCAAGGGGTTCTGGGTCTGTAAACTGGCTCAAGTCTGGAAATTGATTGAGGGGCTGTGATTCTCTGTTTTTATCATTCGAATTAGTCTTTTGTCCATTTGACCTAGAAGTTTTCTGCTTGTATAAATTAAGTAGAAATGCAGTAGGCTTCCTATCAATTTCACTTCTAGGAACACCATGATTAATTAGCCAATGCCAGAGGTCTACACAAGTCACACTATTCTGATTGCTGCTTTGCCTCTGCTGTCCATTACAATAGCTAGGCCCATCTTGACTTTGATGGTTGAGTGCTGCCACTTGGCCTCTGCCACTTTGGGATCCAATTATTCCCATTGTATATAAATTTTGTAGTTGAGTGACTGCAGTTCCCATGGTTAGATCTGACATACAGAGAAGAGCAATTACAGGGCTCTTCAAAGATGCAGGTGCTGCCCTCACAAATCTATTTCTCAAGACATTGGTCAAGGTTATATCTTCTGGATCCTCCCAGCTGGGATGAGTAGGTCTAAAGTGACTAATCCAGTCCACCATCCCAATATCCCTAAGCCTTCAGATCCTTTCCTCTACATTAAATCAAGGGAGATCAGGCATTTCCAGTTCACTCATAGTGGGCCATCTTTAAATCCATATTTCAGGTAACCAAAAAAAAAACTGATCATACCCTTTTTTAACTCCCCAAGCTGCAACATTAAATGCAGAGTACTAGTTAGAGGGCCCAGATCAATAAATACAGCCTGATTCAACACTATATTCCTTCCACCATTATCCCACACCATTAATATCCATTCCCATGCCTGTTATTTAGATTTCTGTTTATGTAAATTAGAAAACTCAAGCAGTTCTTTTCAAGTGTCACACACTTCCTCATGGGTCACACTCTCAGTCTCACCTCTAGGTACCTGCCAGTTTAGTCTACTTATAGGTCTAGAAGCAAACAGGGGCATTGGGAGTGGCTCTTGAGGAGAATAAACATTATCTTGCCTGGTGATTGCCTCAGGGGAGGCCATCACTATTGCCTCAGGCAGCACAGGGTTTATCTCCTCAGACAAAGGTGGAAATGCTGATTGCAGCATGGGTCAGGGAGGCGATGCTGCTGCTACTGGGGATAGGGTAGCTGTTTCTTCTGGCAAAAAAAGAAAGTCTCATCAGAGTTTACAAACTCAGTGTCCCCAGCTTCATCAGGGTCCTCCTTCACATCCCCATTCCAAGATGCAGGGTCTCATTCTTTTTCAATCAATGTCCTCACTTTAACAATAGACACCTGACAAGGCTGGGTATGCAACTTTTGTTCCAGGTCAGCCACTCACATGATAAGAGCTTGTCTCTGTTTTTCCATAATTTCAGCTCTTTCTCTACAGGAGATAAAACTGTCACTCAGGGCAATCTTAGCAGATTTGAGGCTCAGCATCTGCCTCTGAGGCCAGGAGATAAAATCCCTGAGTTCATCATTTTCTTTCATCACTTTGTCTGCTAGACTTAGGAGCAACCAACCAGTTTCATTATGTTCCCTTGTTCTCCACATATGGTCAAAGGTATTATGTATTGAGTCACTAAACTCCTTGCCTCTCACGAGCAATGAATCAGGGTGTCAAATGCACTTATTTTGCCTAACTCTCTAAACAGTTCATGCCAAGTACTATCAGTGTTCTCCATACTATCAGAAGTAGAGTCCTTAGCATTTTTGGGTCTAATCATATTAAGCAACCAACCACAGAAACCCCAAAACCAACAAAAGAACTCCATCCTTAATATTCTGTTCCTCTAGAATCACTCCTGGTACCAAAATCTGTATTAGTCAGGGGGACAGAACTAATGGAATACATACATACATACAGATAGATAGATAGATAGATAGGAGTTTATTAAGTATTAATGTTGTGGGAATCAGGAAACCAGAGAGACCAATGTGTGGAAGAGGAGGATTTTTTTAGGCGGCCACCAATTCAACAGATTCATATCCAAAGGCTAAACACCAAACAAAGACCGGGCTTGACTTTTATACATACATCTGAAAAGGGCACAAAACCTGTAAGGTGGGTAAGCAAGCTTACAGAAGGAGAACAAAGGCAGTTTATCAAACAGTGACAGGTTTTACAACTCAGGCATGTCTTGTGACCATTGCCATACTGCACAGCTGGAAAACAGGAGCTTACAAAATCCTTGCAGACTTGCAGAAATAGTTACAAAAGTAGTTGTAAGAGCAGATCAAAGGATAATTGTATAGGGAAAGAATTTCAAAGGGGGAACTGATAAAAAGCATTTGTTTTTCTTATCCTTGCTCGGGGTTGGGGGGGTGTTGGGAGAGTCTCTGGAGCACGTTCCTTTGGGCTCTGGCTTTTCAGATAGTTTTATCAAGGCCCTGCTAGGGCTCTGCCTATTGCTGGCCTTGGAGGTAGTCAGCCAAGTACAGGAAAAGTTGTTTTTCCTTTTACTTAATTTTCTTTTTACGTTTTCTGCTTCATTCCCCGCTTTGGTGCTTCCTATAAATGAAGTTTAATAGAAAGCATCATCATCAAATTTTAATTCTTCATGGGGAGTTAGTTCTTACTTGGCAAGGGCTGCTATTTGGTTAGAGCCATTAGCTGAGTAGTTTGGCTTGTTAGAAGAGCCTCTATTGCTGATTGGATGTTTTTGACAAGGAGGGGTAAGAGACAAGGGAGTATTAAGCAACCTCCTAATATGGCCAGAACTATTCCTACTAAGGTCCTGAATCCTCCGAGGGATGAAAACCAGCCCCCGAAGAGGGAGTCTGGAGACCATCCCCTCCACATCTGGACTGAAACATGGGCTAATTTTTGGATTTTTACAGTTATATCTTCAATGACTTTTCCATTGTCATCAATTTCTAGGCAACAATTAGATTGAACTTTCCACATACCCCTCCCTCCTGGGCTAGGAGGTGGTCTAAGGCCAATCTATTTTGATAAATAGCGTGTCTCATTTTTGTGGCTTGCTTGGCCAGCAGATTTAAGGCTCTTGCAGTGTCATTAGTAATGATTTCAAGCACTGCCTGCAACCTTATGATGTGGTTGGGCATGTAAAAGGGGTGTGGTATCCATACATTCCATCTTCTGCCCAGGTGGCCGGGCCATAATGTTGGATTATTCTCTCAGGGGGCCATTCATTATCCTTCCAATTCCCTATGGCTATGCCCCTTTTATTTCTCCTTTTAGTTTCATCATAAACAGGGTACCTGAGGCTTCTCCCTGCTTTAGAGGGATTAGGAAGAAGGACGTTCTAATTGTTCCTAGTACACAAGCTCCTGTCCATTTAGCTGGCAGCTGCCGATATGCCTGCAGTCCACAGATCCAATAGAGGCTAGAGGGTGCCTGCCAGATATTTGGAACATTAAGTTGGTACCAAGAGTTGTTTAAGGAAGGGAAACTGGATGGGCTTGGGTGGGGCAATGCAGAATTATATTTCCCGTCCCACCATAAAGTTTTCCCTACTGTTTCATTGGAATATTGTTGTCCCAGGCAAGTTAATTCTCCTACCGGGTCTGTAAAGGCTTTTCCCCAGTGAGCAATGCAGAGTCTCCCAACAATAGAAGTTTTTAAGAGCCAGACGCTCGGGCTTGTGAGCGTTGGTTTGGGGGAGGGGACATTCAGAGTAAAGTTATCTTGGGGCATTAGCTCCCTTGCTTCCTATGGCCATTGATCTCTCATGTTGGTTCCCCCACAGATGTAACATGAGGAGTCGTGCAAGCTGCTAGCTATATTTTCAGCTAGTTGGGGAAAGAGGTGTCTGGCCAAGGTAGAAGGTTCAGGCAACTCCTGGTGGATGTGCTCACAGAATGACTCAAAAACTCAGAATTATTGGGTTGAATGGGTCTGAGTTTTCTTTATAATATATAAATAGACTCCTGGGTCAGTTCCCTGACCACTGATCCATAATGTCATGGGGTAACCTGTAGTCCATATGGGCAGATTTGGCTCCAAGATGGTAAAATTTAAAGGATTGCAGGTTCTTGTCTTACAATATGGTTTTGCTGGCATTTTGGTAAGCCTGACGGTCTCCTGTGGTCGTCCCTGACTTTCTACAGGGTCAATGGACCACATCGTGCTGGCCTGACAGTCTGCTTCCAGAGACCTCAGGGAGCAAAGAGGGGTCTTCTCCTGAAAGCTTCCTCTCCTTGGTGCGCATATATACTTGTGACAGTTACTATAGTATCTTTCCCATGATAGGCCGTCACAAGAAACTACAGGATAAGAGTAGCTGATGTATGCAGCTTGGCAGTCATCAAAATACAAGGAAATAGGCCCCCTGTAGGAGGGAGGGACCTTTTGGGTTAGGGTTAGAAGGTTCCCTTCTTTTGCCTGACATAGGCCTCAAACCGGATGGACTCATAAGGTGAGGAATTAGCATAATAACATATATAAGGCTGGTCATTTCCCAGGTCACAGACTAAGTAGGTCGTCTGATTGTGAATACAAGTTCCTCGGCGAGTCCCTGTACATTTACAGTAAGTGTGATGTAACAGCGTTCTAGTTACTGTGCTCCCCGACCGTGTGGTGTGAGTACAGTGGGGGCACCCTTCTATGGGCCCATCCCCTGGCACAGGTAAAGGGAGTGCCCTGATGGGGAGGAGTAGGAACAAAGAAAAGAGCAGCATCTTTATACCCAGCAAGGACAAAAGAGGTTTTTACCCAGTGGAGGAGGTTGAGCAAAGCAACAGAACAACAGTATAACAATTAATATTATAAGGAAAATTACTAGGCTTAAGATCTCTAGCCACATTACTTCCCTGATGACAACTTAAGCTTCAGCCGTGCATAGACTAGTAAGCTTCCAGGGTAACTAGAGCATGGCTGTTGTCTCCTCAAGCTTCAGCCATGTGTAGACTGGTCAGCTTCTGGAGTGACCAGAGCAGGGCTGTCACCATCCTTAATGGCAACTCAGTCCCATCATAGGATTAGCCGGGTTGGATGGTCTGGGTCCTGTTGGCTGGTCCACTTGTCTTGGACTGCTGGTTTCTGCCAACTGGGGTGGATCCAAGGCACAATTCCTGCAACTCTAACAGCAGTGGGAGTGGACAAGATTACAGTATGGGGCCCATCCCATAGGGGTCCCAAAGTGGTTGGATTCAATTTCTTGACCCAAACAGAGTCCCCGGGTTTAAAGGGGTGTGCTGGGTCTGCCAGGCTTATGGGCATTCTTTCCCGTACCCAGCCATAGACATCTTGCATGGCTATCCCTAAGCCCTGCATTTGCTTTCTTAAGGTTAAGTCCCTTAGCTCCCGGAGATCACCCTTAATTTGACCTATGATTGGGGGTGGCTGGCTGAACAAGATTTCATAGGGTGAATACCCAGTTGTTTGGTAAGGGTGCACCTGACTCGGAGGAGGACCATGGGTAGGACCTGATCCCACCTTAGATGGGTCTCTTGGCAATATTTCTTCAGTGGCTGTTTGAGTGTCTGGTTCATGTGCTCCACTTTGCCTGAGCTCTGTGGCTGGTAGGCTGTGTGTAATTTCTATCTTACTTTTAACAGCTGTGTTAGTTTTTGAACTATTGTGGCTAAAAATGCCGGTCCATTGTCTGACCCTAGAGTTAGGGGCAGTCCAAACCTGGGATAATGTCTCTTAACAGTACTTTAGTCACTTCTCATGTTTTCTCTATTCTGGTGGGGAAAGCCTCAATCCATCCTGAAAAGGTGCAGATGAGTACTAACATGTACCGATAGTCCCCTGCTCGGGGCAGCTCAGTGAAGTCCATAAGCAGGTTTTCACAGAGTGTGGCTCCCATTTCCTGAATCCCTGGGGGCCGAGTGGGCCCCTGTCATGGGTTGTTCTGGGCACAAGTTAGACATTGTTCACAAACAGCTTGGGTGATGGCAGTGAGCCGCAGCACATAGAAATGGTGTCCCAGTAACATTTCTAGTGCTGTTTTCTCCATGTGAGTTCCTTGATGGAATTGTCTTACAAATTTGGAAGCCACCATTTCAGGAATGGCTAGTCTCCCATCAGAGAATTTCCACCATCCTACCTCAATATATTTTCCGGATTCTTGGGCAAACCAGGCCTTCTCATTTGGAGAGTAACTTGAGACCTCCAGGAGGGGAGGTTCTGGGAGAGGAGGCATAGCCAGGGCTTCCTCTCCAGGATGCAAAGTTGTCACTGCAGCCTGTTTTGCTTCCCTGTCTGCCTTTCTGTTTCCTTTGGCCTCTAGTGTCCTGGACCTCTGGTGCCCCCATACAGTGCATAACAGCTACTTCTTTGGGGCCCATACAGCATCTAAGAGCTGTAAAACTTCCTCTTTGTACTTTATTTATTTTTCCCCAGCAGTTATTAGTCCTCTCTCCTTATATATAGCTCCATGAACACGCAATGTGGCAAAGGCATACTTGGAATCTGTATAAACATTGACTTTTTTGTCTTTTGCCAGCAAAAGAGCTCTTGTCAGGTCTATTAGCTCTGCCTTCTGAGTGGAAGTTTCTGTAGGCAAAGGTTGAGCCTCTGTCACTGAGTCCAGTGTTACTACTGCATACCCAGCTTGGCGGACCCCCTCCAGCATAAAAGTGCTTCCATCTGTAAAGTATTCAACATCTGGGTCCCTGAGGGGTTGGTCTGTAAGGTCTCCCTGGCTTGAGAACACCTCGTCTACTGTTTCCACACAGTCATGGAGGGGGATCCCCATTCGATTGGGAGCAGGGTAGCCAGGTTAAGGATGTTTACTGTTTCCAAAGTTATGTGGGGATTTTCACGTAGGAGCCCCTGGTACTGAGTCATCCTCGGATTCGATAACCAATGGTGCCGTCTCTGATCCATTAACGTTATAACCAAGTGTGGTACCTGGATGGTTAGTTGCTGCCCTAGAGTCATTTTGTCAGCTTCTTGTGCCAATAGGGCAGTGGCAGCTAGTGCCCTGAGGCAAGGAGGCCATTCTAGCACCACAGAGTCCAATTGTTTGGATAAGTGTGCCACCAGGCGATGCCATGATCCCATGACTTGAGTCAGGACCCCTATAGCTATTCCCTTTCATTCATGGACATATAGAAAGAAAGTCTTAGTTATATCTGGCAGTCCTAAGGCTGGGACCTGGGTTAAGACTTTTTTAATTTGTTTAAACGCCTTCTCCTGGTCAGCCTCCCAGAGGAGGGGTTCCTTTCCCCCCAACTTTGTGGCTTCATACAAGGGCTTGGCCATTAGTGAGAAATTTGGGATCCAGATACGGCAGAGCCCTGCTGCCCCGAAGAATTCTCTTATTTGGTGCCAAGTTGTTGGAGTTGGGAGTGCACAAACAGGCTGCTTTTGTTCATTGCTGAGCTGGCATTCCCCTTGACTCACTAGGAAGCCTAAATATTTAACCCTTTCCTGGCAAATTTGGGCTTTCTTTCTGGATACTTTATAACCAGCTTTCCATAGGAGGTAGAGGAAGTCTTGGGTTCCTTGGTAACAGTCCTCATGGGTTGGGGCTGCTAAAAGGATATCATCTATATATTGGAGCAAGGCACAGTTATTATTTGGCAGGGTGTAGGCCTTGAGGTCTGAGGCCAATGCTTCCTCAAAAATTGTGGGAGAGTTTTTGAATCCTTGTGGGAGCTTAGTCCAGGTGAGTTGCTCCCCTGTGCCTGTGACTGAATCATCCCATTGAAATGCAAAGAGGGGCTGACTACTTGGTGCTAGGCAAAGGCAGAAAAAGCCATCTTTTAAGTCTAGGCAAGTAAACCAAGCAGCACTTGCCGCAATGAGTCCCATTAAAGTATACAGGTTTGGTACCACTGGAGGGATGGTCACTGTAGTCTGGTTTACAGCATGTAAATCTTGCGCCAGCCTATATTCACCAGACCCTGGTTTTTGTACTGGTAAGTGGAGTGTTCCAGGGTGACTGGTATTGGACTAAGATTCCAGGATCATAGAGCCACTTTAAGTGGTTGTAAATGCCCCAAATGGCTTCTCAGGGGAGTGGGTACTGGTGAACCCGAACCGGAGTTGCTCCTGGTTTTAATTCTACTACTACCAGTGCCTAATTTACAGCCATCCCAGAGGGTTATCTTCAGCCCGTACTCCAGGAATTTTAGTAAGTAACCCAAACAATTCCTCTATCCCCAGCATATGAGGCAGGTCTGGTGCCTGTGTCTTTTTTGTGTATAGTCTCCATTCCTCAGCCTGCGGGATGGTAAGGATTAACACCATGTCAGGGAGGGGCACCAAGTCATGGGAGAGCTGCTTCCTTCTCTGGGTTTGAGTTCCCCCAGTGGCACGTGAGGTCACGGTTCTCCCCCAGCCCAGGGGCCTAGACCCACAGGCAAAGGAGACAGCAAACCTGTTGTCTCCACCCCTGCCTGGCTCACCAAAATGTTGCAGGAATCAGGAGATGAGAGAGACCAATGGTTGGAACAGGAGGATTTTATTAGGTGGCCACCAACTCAGCGGATTCATATCCAAAGGCTGAGCACCAAACAAAGACAGGGCTTGACTTTTATATATACATCTGAAAAGGGTGCAAAACCTGTAAGGTGGGTAAGCAAGCTTACAGAAGCAGAACAAAGGCAGTTTATCGAACAGTGACAGGTTTTACAACTCAGGCATGTCTTGTGACCATTGCCATACTGCACAGCTGGAAAACAGGAACTTACAAAATCCTTGCAAACTTGCAGAAATAGTTACAAAAGTAGTTGTGAGAAGAGATCAAAGGATAATGGTATAGGAAAAGAATTTCAAAGGGGGAAACTGATAAGAAGAACTTGTTTTTCTTATTCTTGCTCTGGGTGGGGAAGGTGTTGGGAGAATCTCTGGAGCTCATTCCTTTGGGCTCTGGCTTTTCAGATAGTATTATCAAGGCCCCACTAGGGCTCTGCCTATTGCTGGCCTTGGAGTGAGTTAGCCAAGTACAGGAAAACTTGTTTTTCCCTTTACTTATTTTTCTTTTTACATTTTCTGCTTCATTAACTCACATGATCACAAGGTCATCAGCAGGCTGAGGGGCAAAGAGAGCCAGTCCAAGTTGTAGAACTGAAGAACCTGGAGTCTGATAGTCAAGGGCAGGAAGCATCCAGCACGGGAGGATGGAGACCAGGCCAGTCTCTCGTTTCACATTTTTCTGCCTGCTTATATTCTAGCTGTGCTGGCAGCTAATTAGATTGTGCCCACCCAATCTGCCTTTCCCAGCTCACTGAGTCAAATGTTAATCTCCTTTGGCAAAAACCTCACAAACACACCCAGGATCAATTCTTTGTATCCTTCAATCCAATCAAGTTCACACTCAGTATTAACCATCACACCACTATTTTCTCTTCACAGGACATGAGACTTTATACAACCTGCTAAAAATGAGCTATTGCAACCTACACATCTAGAAATAAACCATCCTAGCCACGAGAGATCAGATGAAACAAGACCAGAGACTCATTTCCTTGTAAAATACTTTCTCCAAAAGATTTTTAAAAAGAAAAGGGGGGAAATGTGAAAGGAAAATATCTTGGCCCCCTCAAGCTGGGAACCACTCAGGGCAAATCTGCCTCCCATTCTATTCAAAGTCATCTTTCTGCTCACAGAGATAGATGCATATTCTGATTGCTTCCTTTGGAAATACTTAACAGAAACTCAAAAAAATGCAACCATCTATCTCTCACCTACCTGTGACGTGGAAGCCCCCAGTTGGGGGGGCCTTACTTTGAATTGTCTCCACCTTTCTGGATGGAACTGATGTACTTCTTGCATATATTGATTGATGTCTCATGTGTCCCTAAAATGTATAAAACCAAGCTGTGCCCCAATCACCTTGGGCACATGTCTTCAGGACCTCCTGAGGCTGTGTCATGGCCACATCCTCAACCGTGGCAAGATAAACTTTCTAAATTAACTGAGACCTGTCTCAAATTTTTGGGGTTCAGAATCCATAAGTCTTTTTTTATTTCTTGATGATTAAAGTCACATGAACTAAAAGGCATTACAGTGTTTATTTTTTCTTCAAAAATATTTGATCCTAGTGCTTATCCTTCAAGTCAATTAATTAGAGCTCTTTTTTAAAATAGACATCACACACTACACCTATGTAACTACACAGACAAGCAGAAGCAGATCCAGTAGTTATCAGATTTTCTGTTCTGCAATCTCTTAATTGGACTGTTCACCTCTGAGTGGGCCCTTTGAGAGCATGGCTAGGAAAGCATGCAGTTTCTAGGGCCTAAAAAACAGGTATAGCTGGAAGACAAAATCAGATTTTGAGAGGGATTCATCTGCCTCCAATTCCTGGGGCTCCGTGAGGAAAACAGAGGTCTCTCCCAAAATGGAATCTGTGGCACCTTTTCTGTTTTGCCCAAGCAGCCCCAGGCCATCAGAAATTATTTTAGGGCCTCTCATGCATGCCTTAAGGGAGAAAAAGAATTCAGCTGTCTGAGAAAAAAAAAACCTTTTTCCAACAAAACAAGATCCAAGAAGAGAAAAACATAAAGGCGTTTTAAATATACCTATAACTTGGATATCCACTTTTAGTTAAGATAAGCACTCTTTAAGAAAGTCCTTTTAAATCCCTTATTATGCAACTTTAGCCATGCCAAGCAGCCAATATTTCTAGCTTTTGAACTTTATGAAAGGTAACTTCCCAGGTGCTCACAGAAAGGAAAATTCAAGGTAGTTCATGGAGGGGAAGAGAATCAACAAATGGTAAAGGTCACAGATATCGAACCAGAAAGAACTCATTCCCTAAGCCGGGATTGAACCTGGGCCACCATTGTAAAATGGCAGAGGCTAAAACAAAGCACTGCCACATGGTTAAAGGTCATCCTTCCAAGTACATAAAATATGATGGAGGCCTTCAGCAAAGTTTGCCACTGACCAGTTTTCCAGGCTGGCTTGAGTAGAAGGCCTATAGAGTCCTAGGCCCACATCCCAACCTAAGGTACCCCTCTTTCTTACAGAACCATATAGAGAAGCATGCAAAGCACACCAGATTGGCTACAGCTTAAGACCAACCTCATGAATCCTTTTTTATAATTAAAACTCTACAAACTTTACAGAGAATATAAACAGTGATCCTTATCATTCCCTTTACCAGTTTGCACAGGAGAGTGGGGCCAAAAGCTCAACTGGTAAAATAAAAAAACCACTCTTACCCTTTTGCCAGCATGTCAGGCCCCTTTTGCCAGCATGTCAGGCTTCTGTGTTCCCTCCCCACTGAGCTCAATCCCAAGACAACTAGTTTAAAGCTTGGGAAGTTAACTTTTCCCAGTTTGGAGGCTACATCTGAGGGGAGTGTCCTGCAGCATGGGGACACAACCTTCCATCTGTGAACAGAGGACAGAGGAGGAAAAAGGAAAAATACGGCATTTTTTCAAAGGAGACCCAGGACTCAGGATGCATTCAAAGAGGTACAGATGGAAGATGAATGGCTACTCATCTAGAAAGAGAGGAGCAAGGTGTCCCCAGTTCCCTTCTTTTCCTAGCGAATACCCATGGTACATGAGGTAGAGAAAGCAAAGCATGTCTCTTTCTTTACTCCATCCTTATATTTCTGAGTTCTGGCAATCACAACAGGTTGCCACCCATGGGTATCAAAGCAGCTTTCACCCATGTTAACAGAGGGGTCTAGGGGGTGGGATCATCCTCTCTTACCCACGTATGCCCTATCTCCCCTGCTGTCAGTAGCCTTTGAGTTCCTGAACTTGGAATTGAATTTGGGACAAAAATGTTTCTGGGGGGTTGGGTTGCATGAACTCCTTATAAGCAGAATGCTAAGGTGAAGCTGTGAATTTGAGTCTTCCTCCAACAAGGGATAGAAAAGGGTGTCTTGTGAATTGGGGTCCCAACCTAGTAAAACGTCTTCTAAAAGGAAAAAAAATGCCTCTCACATAAAAGTTAACTTCTGACCTGGTGGAGAAAGGAAAAAAAAAAAACCTAAATACAACGCTGTGTTAATTGCTGAAAAATGGAGAAAAGAAAAAGATGCCTGGGGAAGAAACCTCTTATTCTTATGCAAATGAGTTTCTTCAACTGGGAGAGAAACTTTTAATTGCTATTTCTTCCCTGGGGTTTGGACTGAGCTGGACCCCTTGGCCAGGGGAGGGGAAGACGCCAGGGGTATGTGGTGGGGAACGCTGGCCAGCTGTTTGTGCAGGGCATGGGACCCTGAGGTGCCTTGGGGCCTGGGTAGTGGCTGTGGTTCATTTTTGCCCTGCGTGGCTGTTGGCCTGTGTGTGTGTGTTTGGCACGCACATGCAGCAGACACAGCCATGTGCCCCAGCCAAAAGGGAAGAGGGGCGGGGAGCAACTGCTCACCTGTCAATCCTGTACGTGTACCTGAGGCCACTGGGGTGGGGGTGAAACATCCCCAATATTGTAAAAGAAATGATAGATGCCATTACAGTTCCCCCAAAAAGAAGGAAAATGCCATAGAAAAGACTGGCTTGGACCAGGGCCAAAGTTCCTGACCCCCAAGAGTGATGGGTGTTGGGGGGCGGGGGAGCAGTTTCCTCTACCCTCAGACTTAGTGTGAGGACAAAAAGGCTCAGAAATGAAAGGGAAGGAGATTTTTGGGTCCGCACTTTACTCACCCCTCCTCATGTCCCTCTACAGGCTACCAAATGATGCAGGATTTTTTGCTCCTTAGTTCAGCTAAAATCCAGGTTTCTGTCTCACAACCAGGAAAAATTAGGCACGTGGACAAATTGAAGGATGAGGAGGGTAGATCTATTAGGCAAAAAGAAAGCTCAGCAAAGAAAGAAGTGGTCCTGCCAACATGCTACCACCTCACAGATTGAAGACCAGACCACTTCACACAAGCTGAAGAGGCCGGGCCCCTCCCCCAGCATAAGGTGTGAATTCCTGGTGGCTCCACCCCATTCTCCCAGTGAACATACAGGCCCCCAGTTCATTGTGAGCATGCCCAGGCAAGACCCTGGGCAGGTTCCCTTATCTGCCTCCTGCATCTGTCAGCTCTATCTTCCCTAATAGATGGATCGAAGTCTCAACATTGTCATCTTCTCAGAATTCTCCTTTTTCTCCTTCCTAACACAAAATGTAGTATGCCATATATACTTCTCTTAATCTTGTTTTTTAAGCTTACTGACCCTGGAAATCACTGAATATTAATGTAAAGAGATAATCCTTTTTCATTTATGACTGCATATTATTCATGATGTAGAAGCATTGCTGTTTACCTAATAGCTTTCTAATGATGGAATTAGAATTGTGCACAAACCTTTGGTAGTACACATTATCCCACAATAAACAGTTTTGTACAGATCTGATTTGATCTCTTTGGAATATAACCATTTATATTAACACCTCCCAAAAATGACATACTTAGGTATAAATCTAACAAAAGGTTTGGTATTAACTATTTCTCTATGTTCAAGTTTGCTGATAATTTTCTCTATTCTCTGTCCTGCTGTTGAGCCCATCCAGTGAGTTTGGATTTGGTTATTGTAGTTTCCAGTTCTAAAATTTCTATTACTTTCATCTTTATATTTTATATTTCTTTCCTGAGACTTTCTCATTTTTTTGTTCCAAGTCTCTATTTTTTTCATTTTAGTCAGATTTGTAATTGCTCATTGAAGCAGTTCATGATGTCTGTCTCAAAATCCTTATCAGATAATACTAACATCTGCATCATCTCAGAGTCAGCATCTGTTGTCTTTTTGTCATTCAAGTTAAGATTTTCCTGGTTTTATAAATAACTAGTGATTTTTCATTGTATTCTGTTTTTTGTATTGTTTTGAGATGGAGTCTTGCTCTGTCGCCCAGGCTGGAGTGCAGTGGCATGATCTCGGCTCACTGCAACCTCCACCTCCAGGATTCAAGTGATTCTCCTGCCTCAGCCTCCCTATTAGCTAAGATTACAGGCGCACACCACCATGCTTGGCTAATTTTGTATTTTTTGTTTTTTTTAGTAGAGACATGGTTTCACCATATTGGCCAGGCTGGTCTCAAACTCCTGACCTCATGATCCGCCCACCTTGGACTTCCAACGTGCTGGGATTACAGGCGTGAGCCACTGCGCCTGGCCTCCACTGTATTCTGAACACTTTGGGTGTTATGTTGTGAGGCCCTAGATCTTATTAAATTTTTTCTTTTATCAGGATCCTTATGATGTTGCACCAGTAGGGTAAGAATGGCATTACTTTGCTGTTGCTAAACGCTGGCATCTTTCCAGGTTCTCCACTTAATTTCTGTTGATATGCCAGGGGTAAAGGGCAGCTCACATCTGCTGTTCAAATGGAAAAGTTCATCCTCCTCTCTAGGCCTCTGTTGACGCCATCTTAGCTGGGAAGTTGAAAGATGCCTCATTACAGCTGTCCAAGTGACCTCCACTGACATTGTGAAATAGGAGCCAGTGTTTGTTTTGTGTTGCTATGAAGCAACCTGAGACTGGGTAATTTATAAAGAAAAGTGGTTTATTTGGCTCATGGTTCTGCAGGCTGTACAAGAAGCCTAGTGCTTGTATCTGCTCCTGGCGAGGTTCTCAGGAGGCTTACAATCATGACTGAAGGCAAAGGGCAAAGGGGAGCCAGTGTGTCACATGGTGAGAGAGGAAAAAAGTGAGAGAGGGAGGAGGTGCCAGGCTCTTTTAAACAACCAGATCTCACATGAACTCATAGAGGAATAACTCATTCATTACCATGAGGACACCACCAATGTATTCATGAAGGACTCACCCCCATGCTCCAAACGTGTCCCACTAGGCCCCACCTCTAACACTGGGGATTATATTTTAACATCAGACTTGGAGGGTAAAAACATCCAAACTATATCATTTTTTCCCAGGACCCCAAATTTCATGTTTTTTTTTTCACATTGCAAAACACAATTATCCCTTTTCAGTAGTCCCCTAAAGTCTGAATTCATTTTAGCATCAATTCAATTAAAAGTCCAAAGTCCAAAGTCTCATCTGATACTCAAGGCAGGTTTCTTCCACCTATGTGCCTGTAGGATTAAATGGTGGCACAGGCATTTGTCAAACATTTTCATTCCAAAAGGGATAAATTGGCCAAAAGAAAATGGGGCAACAGGCCCCATGCAAGTCTGAAGCCCAGCAGGGCAGACATTAAACCTTAAAGCTTTAAAATAATCCTTGACTCCATGTCCTGTATTCAGCCCACACTAGTGCAAGGGGTGGGCTCCCCAAGGCCTTGGGCAGCTCTGCCCCTGCGGCTTTGCAGGGTGCAGCGCCTGTGGCTGCCCTCACAGATTGGTATTGAGTGCCTGCAGTGTTTTTAGGCTAAGGGTACAAGCTGCTGGTGGCTCTATCATTCAGGGGTCTGAAGGGTGGTGGCCCTGTTCCTAGAGCTTGGCTAGGCAACCAGCTCTCATGTGAACTCATAGAGTAAGAACTCACTCATTCCTGCAAGGACAGCACCAAGCCATATATGAGGGATCCAGCCAAACACCTTCTATCACACCTCACTTGTAACATTGGGGATCATGTTTTAACATTAGATTTTGAGGGAACAAACATTCAAACTATATCAGGGCCTCATTTACTGCATGACAAGGAGGAAAGTCTCAGAACTCAACTTGACCTTCTCTGACACCACCCCAGTGAGTGGGGTGGGGGAGGGGATGCCACGTTACAGCTGGGAAGATTTGAAAGTTTAAGCTCCCCATGTGGCTTTTGCTGATGAAGTGCATGTGGGGATACAAGTTTTCCCATGACATTTGGGTGGAGAAGGATGGTTATTTTCTAAAAGTTTTCTGTCTCGCCAGACTGCTCATTTCTGAGTCCTTTGGCTACAGACAGCAAACTTCTTGAGTCTTTTTGTTCTATGTCTGTTGGCATTAAAATGTTATAGGCTTCTCCAGATTGCTTGAGGTTAAAAGAAAACTCAGGGATTCACCACCATGTTATTCCTTAGATCCCAGGGTAGGTACCTTCTCTGCATGATTTTCTCTACCTTTCTTAACCTTCTTATGTTTGTTTTCTATTTAAAATACAGTGTTTTTACTTGCACAGTAAGTCCTCACATCAGCAATAGGTTCTCAGAAACTGTGACTTTAACAGTGCAAAGTAACATACAACAAAACAAATTTTTATTTGTCTCATCAGTGTTATAATGAAACACATTGGACAAAACAATGTTATTTCAGGACCTACTGTACATTGTTTCACCTAAAGTTGCAGTTTCCAAGAACCTATTCATGACATTGAGGACTTACTATACTTACTAGGAATAATAGGAAGAAATGTGTCTACTCTATCTTTTCTGGAACCAGAAGTTCTTAGTGCTGATTCCACAAAGAAATAAATGTTGTCCGGGTGCCTGTAATCCTAGCAATTTGGGAGGCCAGATCACTTGAGCCCAGGAGTTTGAGACCAGCCTGACCAACATGGACAAACCCTATCTCTATAAAAGATACAAACAAACAAACAAACAAAAAACAGCTGCACTCCAGCCCGGGTGACAGAGTGAGACCCTGTCAAAAAAAAAAAAGAAAAAGAAAAAGAAGAAGAAGAAATAAATTTACTCCTTCTTACAGCTAGAGAGATCAAGCCAAGCTCCTTTGGGAAGGTTTCATTCTTTTCCCACCTATGGATCTTGCAGGTTACTATTTGTTCTGCCTGAAGCAGGCATTCTATTCTTCCTCAATTATCTTTCTCCCTGCGTAGAGTTTCTTCGCTCTGCTTACTAGTGCTACTGGCTTGCTACTAAGCTTTTTCCATGATTGAATGTATGTGGTTTCCTCTACTCTAATTTTTTGGGGCTATGTATACCTCATTGTAAATGATGTCTGGTATAGAAGTAGATGTTATCCACTGAGTCCAGCGGAAGACAAACCTCTTTGTATCTACCCCTCCTAAGGCAGAGGTGTCTCCAGTTTTGCATGTATGAGCAAAACAGTTTATCAAAAGGAACCTTGTCAGATTTCTAAAGAAACCAGCATAAATAGTAGAATCTTTTCCTGGCAGGAAATGGAAGGGGTCTGTAATTAAAACTGCTTCTAATTGATGGTTATCCCATGAGGCTCTGATTCTACCAGGTAAATTAGGAGTTGACAAAAATCTATAACAGAAATTCCCAAAGTTAGAGTTAATATTTTATTAAATTAGTCTTTATCCTATGTAGTTTTTATAAATTGAACTCATCTTATTGATTATATATTTTACCAAACACTATACCATAAATTCTCCACCAATCATTTTGAGCATACTTTTCTCCAAAACATTATAGTCTAATAGGAGATGCAATTTTTAAAACTCACGTATGAAACAGAAAATAGCAAGGATATAAATTTTGTCACACAAAAATGTATTGCATATTAAAGTTATAAAGAGAGTTACAGGATGTTAATGTTTTCTGGATTATTTAGGAAAGATTTGATAATGGAAGTGGAATTTGATCTTGCCCTATAAAGTTACTATAATTCAGTTCAATGGGAAAAGTGATTAGACAGTCTAGACCAATGCAATGACACCAGCAAAATTACAAACCTGTGCTGTCAGGGGACATAGACTGGAGGTGAGGAGACAACCCAATTCCAATTGTATTAAATTCGGAAGTGAGTATAGAAATGGCAGGATGAGAGCAAGATATTCTTCAGAGCCTATTATTATTTCTGTAGAATTGAAAGTTCCTTGTTGCTAAGTAGCTAAATCTAGAATTTAGTCACCTGAGAGACAAAAGGGAGAGGGCTTATGTTTCCCTTTGTTCTGTGGCCTCAGCTACAAACCATTGATAAAGCATGGTATAAACCATCTAGACAGAAATGGCCATGGAAACTACTGTTTCTTCTGATGGTAAGTCATTCATAAAGTTTGGTTCTATGCATAATTTGGTATCCAGAGTAGTCCACTGGATAATGTGAAGTCTCTTAATTTTTGTTTTGTTTTCATTTTTTTTGTTTGTTTGTTTGTTTTGAGATGGAGTCTCACTCTGTCGCCCAGGCTGGAGTGCAGTGGCGCGATCTCAGCTGACTGCAAGCTCTGCCTCCTGGGTTCACACCATTCTCCTCCCTCAGCCTCCTGAGTAGCTGGGACTGCAGGTGCCCGCCACCACGCCTGGCTGATTTTTTTGTATTTTTAGTAGAAACGGGGTTTCACCATGTTAGCCAGGATGGTCTCGATCTCCTGACCTCGTGATCCGCCCTCCTCGGCCTCCCAAAGTGCTGGTATTACAGGCGTGAGCCACCGCGCCCGGCGTGTTTTCATTTTTAAAGATATGAGTGACTTGAGCATGGATGTAGGTAGGGTGACCAACCATTCCAGTTTGGTTGAGACTGAGGGGATTGCTGGGTGCAGCACTTTCAGTTTTAAAACCAGGACAGTCCTGGGAAAATCAGGATGAGGTAGTCACCTCAATTGCCAGTAAGGAATAGATAAAGTAGTAGAAGATGAAGATGCAGTTGAGAATAGGGAAAATTAATAGAAACAGTCCTCAAGTAGGTGGGAGAGATGATCTGGAACCATGAGGGGCTAATGAGACTAGAGAGGTAGTAAGGTAGAGAAGAGGTGGATATAGGCAGATTCAGATGGTGAAAGGCCCAGAAACCATTTTATCTTTGAATTTGGCGTGTGTGTGTGTGTGTGTGTGTATCATATTCCAGAGAAAGAAATCCACTTTATATTATGACATTGTGGCTTTACACACACTTACACCCCACATATTTGGCACTGTGTGTGCAAGGTTGCTAAGGATCTTCTAGGGATGCCTTCTGATATTTCTGTTCTATTTCCTCAAGGAAAAAGACTGCAGGCTATAGCCAGCTGAATTACTTCCATGACTCTAATGGGACAGATATTAGTGACAGACAGATAGGAAAACAGTGCATTAGGGCATTGGAATAAGAGGGAAGATGGGTAGAGAGCGGTCTTGATGAATTTGAAATAGCTGTGGGGAAAGGAAGAGTTTATCAAACATGCAGAAGAGGGCTGTTGGCTCACCTGATAGTCCGCTGACATTAGAGGACATGGATTTACGGTGGTACCACTTCACAGTATCCATGGTAGAATGATGGTACTTCAGGAGCTTTGGTCTCTGTAAGTCCTAGGAATGAAGACAATGAGTCTGGTTTTAAAGATTTTTTTAAAGTTATTCTCCTGTTATTGCCTGCTCTCATGCTGAGCTCCAAGAAAAAGAATAATATGACACAGGTTGGTGTAGCTTATCAGTCCTTTCCACAACATTATATCTTTGATTAGTTCTTCCCATTTTCAATCCTCCCATCCACAACAACTGTCACTCCATAGTAAGTAGAAAACATATCAAGAGAGATATAGAGAGCAAATCTGGCAGTTAGAATTTCATCCCAATTCAGAGATCTTTGTTCTTGGAAGTTTTGCCTATGAACTTTGCTTTTCTCTTCCATGCTACTTGC
Source organism: Homo sapiens (assembly GCF_000001405.40). Taxonomy (NCBI): domain Eukaryota; kingdom Metazoa; phylum Chordata; class Mammalia; order Primates; family Hominidae; genus Homo; species Homo sapiens. Next base: position 70,453,841 of record NC_000014.9, read on the forward strand.
ACCTTGTGGAATAAGGTGCCTAACTTGCAGCAGTGAAAACTGCCCAGATGAATCCAGCCTCTTTAAGCAAGTTAATGGCAAGGATAATGTTCAGCTTGAAACAAGTTTTCCCCATCTTCCAGCATCCACATAGCCAGTCTAGGACAAGAAAAGGAAAAAAACCTTAAATACTTTATATTAGAAAGGAAAGGTACTTGGTTAACTAATTCTACTGTGATTGAGAGACAATGAGAATGGATTTTCAGCTGCTGGCACTATACATAAATGAGGAAAACTCAGAAGATTGAGGAGGTGCAAATGCAATATCCAGGAGAATAAAGAAAAGAGCAATATGGCATAGGAAGTTTTGAAATATCTACTGGATTTTATATCTCTATTCCTTAGGCTGGGGATCCAGGACAAGCCATTTCAGTTTTGATTTCTATATTCTCTTTTTAAGCCTTTCACAAACACATTGGTTTTGGGATTTTTTTTTTTTCAGAGCAGCATTAGTAGCTTTGATGTAGGAGTGGAGGAAGTATGTGAAGAATTAATGCAGTTCCTGCCCACCCCCCATTCCCCGACAATCTCTGTCACATTTAGGACTCTCTAGAGTCAAAGATTTTGGCATACAGTGCTTGAAGGGATGAAACTGGTAGCAGAGCTGAATGGATTGGAAGACAAGAACATTAAGAGAAATGGGGGATGATGAAAGAAAAGTATTTGGGTTTTCTTTGGGTTTGAGAAACAGGTATAGCAGAAGTAAGGGGGAGAGCTGGGAGAACTAAAATTGTTGGTAAATTGATTAGGATATATGAAATTTTTTGTGTGTTGACAAGGTATACATTATGACTATGAGTGGGTGGGCTGAATTACACTGAAGATGAATTGAAGAGGTTAAAAAAAACTTTAAAAAACCCTGTCTTGTTTTCAGATGGGTTTTCTATATACTTGCTAATATTACTTTAAGTTGAGGGTAGGAATTTTGGTGGAGAATAATTTTATCAGTCAGAGGCCAGAGCCTTTGAATTTTGTCCAAGTGTGATAAGGGTGGTTGAAGAGACATCTAAAAATAGTGTAGTCAGATATTGCAGGATAAATGATTTGGTGTTCATGTTGTGGGCTGTGGAGAACAGGAACTCTGGTCCTTGTGGTGCATGTGACTTCTGAGGATGGAGTTTCTCAAGAGGAAGCCTTTAGGCAAGCAGTAAATTCTATTAAAGCTCAGGTTCAATACGGTAAGTAGATGTAGGGAGCTTTCTGTGAAGAGGTACAGGATGGAGTTGGTTCTCTCTCTCTCTCCTTTTGTCTTTAAAGGAAGACTCCAGAAAGCACAAGGGAAGGTATAAGAAGAGAATATAAGGAAACTTGAATCAGGGCAAAGAAAGCATTGATTAGAAATGGATTCAAAATCCAGGAGATGATTGGTGTTGGGTCAGGCATGTTCATTTTTATATCTTCTGTGTAAGTCCTCTTAGATTAGCTTGATTTAAGTGCTTTTCCTTTTTGTTCTTATAAGAAATAGCACCTACCTTCATCAATATGTTGATCACAGTCAGAGGTGAAATTAAGTTTTTGGGCCTGATGCACGTACAAGATGAGGGGCCCACTTTAAGAAAAATAATACCAAGTTACAATTGCAGAAAATAAGTATGAAAATGAGGATTTATTTAGCATAAGAAAGAAGCTGCAACAAATTATAAATATTAAAAGGTTGAAAACACCATAAACATCACAAAATTTAATCCCCTCAGTATTACATTAATCAACTTCCTAACTCACTTTTATGATACCTTTTCCCTATAGTTTTTAAATTGCTTATTTAATTACCTCCCTTAAGAGAATTATTTTGTTATAATTTCTACGGCAAGAACTGAAAGGCATTTGCCTTTCCCTAGTATGTTTAATAAAAATTCATTTTGTATTATTAATAGTTTAGAAAAGAAAATTCAGCTTCACAGCTTGTTATTGGTAATGAGATAAATAATTAAATTTACTATTGTCAAATTTTAGAAAACCTCTATTAAGTCTTTTATGTATGCGATGTAATATTTCAGGGTGTTTGAGATTTTTCTTGTATAGTGACTAATTTTGATTACTCATAATTATATGACTTTCATAAAGTCCATTGCTGAGCCCCTTACAGGGTCTTTATAGAGGTCTGTACAGTGAGGATCCCTGAAGCATAAACTTTGTCTGGTTTTGATCATATTATATTATAATTATCTGTTTTTTGTTTGTTTCTACACATGCTCAGTGCTTACTAGCCTCACTTTTGACAGTCATTTGAGACTATGATGAAATATATGGATACTCTCCTCAGCAAAAAAAGTCATGAAATACATAAAATATTGAATACAATATTACTGACCTCCTAAAGCTTATTCTTGCTCCTGCCACAGTTTCTGCACTAAATTGATAATTTATTTAATGCTCTGTATTTTGATTTTCTTTCTCTAATATCTAGCACAATGTCCTGCACTTTGTATGCTCCAAACACATAAAGACTTGTTTAATAAATAGAAAAAGAAATGGATAAGTGTTGCCAGCCAGACTGTATGACAGGTGCAGAAATTCCCCACTTTCAAAAACTGTTGGTAAATATATTTGAGCAAACACTCAGACTCTTCCCTGGCGATCCTAAAATACTAGACTCTACAATGGTTTTTGCCCTAATAAGAAAAGAGTTCCTTTTCGGAAGACCTTTAAACTGCATAGATTCTCATTTTCTCTTCTGAAAGCATTTCGTTTTGTCTTTGGGACTCTCCTGTAGCTAACTGGAGAGAACAACATTATTCTCTCCATACCCTTAAATGATGTCAGTGTTTCATGAATTTTCTTTTCTAAAAATTATACTACAATATGAACACATTTTAGTAGCATTCACTTATAATCCAAGACATTTTGCAATCCCTCCTCCGTTTTTCCATTTTTCATTGTACATAGAGCTATATGAGGCATTACAGAGGATACTAAAATGAACGAAAATCATAAACCCTGCAGTCAAGAATCTTTCAGTCTAATGAAGTTATGAGTAAAGATGAATACAATGAGGAATAGTAAATAACTTTGAGATAAAGAAACTAAAGTATATCATAAGACTGATGCAACTTGACACAGAATTGTGATTATTTTTGATGTCTCCAGTTTTGATAGTCAAAGGAGACACTATCAATAGATATTGCAAGGGCAACAGGCATAAACTAATATTATCTTGGACAATTTGATATATAGAGTCACCCTACTCTTAAGTTTCTTTACTTTTGCTTTTACTTTTTATTATGGACATTCCATACTGCCTGTAAAGACTGAGATAACTATTTAAGTACCCATCTTCCAACTTCAACTATTATCACCACGTGGCCAATGTTGTCTCCTCTATACCCCCTAAATCCCCACCCTCATTTACTAAAAGCAAATCCAAAGCATTTTCTTGATTCATCAACCAGTTTTTCACTACTTCATTCTTTTTCTCTCCTGATTCCTTACTTATCACCTTTCCAACCCATCTTTTTATTTTTACTTCCAGCACTGCAGTTCTGATCTAACTCTGCCAGGACACAGATCCACAGGGTCAGCCCTGCATCCTGAGCAGCTTAGAGGGAGAAGCCAGACCAGCAGTGCCTCACACCTTGTCCTCTTCTGCTCTGGACAGATGGCTCCATAACGACAGCTTCATAATGGCAGTGGATGGGACCCTCGTGTACATCAGAGTCACTCTTCTGCTGCTCTGGCTTGGGGTATTTTTGTCTATTTCCGGCTACTGTCAGGCTGGGCCCTCCCAGCATTTCACTTCCCCGGAAGTGGTGATCCCCTTGAAGGTGATCAGCAGGGGCAGAAGTGCAAAGGCTCCTGGATGGCTCTCCTATAGTCTGCGGTTTGGGGGCCAGAAACACGTTGTTCATATGAGGGTCAAGAAGCTCTTAGTTTCTAGACACCTCCCAGTGTTCACCTACACAGATGACCGTGCACTCCTGGAGGATCAGCTCTTCATCCCAGATGACTGTTACTATCATGGTTACGTGGAGGCAGCCCCTGAGTCTCTGGTTGTGTTCAGTGCTTGTTTTGGGGGCTTTCGAGGAGTATTAAAAATAAGTGGCCTCACTTATGAAATTGAACCCATCAGGCACTCTGCCACATTTGAACACCTGGTTTATAAGATAAACAGTAATGAGACACAATTCCCAGCTATGAGATGTGGCTTAACAGAGAAGGAAGTAGCACGCCAACAGTTGGAATTTGAAGAGGCTGAGAACTCAGCTCTGGAACCAAAATCTGCTGGTGACTGGTGGACTCATGCATGGTTTCTGGAGCTAGTTGTTGTGGTGAACCATGATTTCTTCATTTACTCTCAAAGCAACATCTCAAAGGTGCAAGAGGATGTATTTCTTGTTGTCAACATAGTGGATTCCATGTATAAGCAGTTAGGTACTTACATAATTTTGATTGGAATTGAAATTTGGAATCAAGGAAATGTTTTCCCAATGACAAGCATAGAACAGGTCCTGAACGATTTCTCTCAATGGAAACAAATCAGTCTTTCCCAGCTACAGCATGATGCTGCACATATGTTCATAAAAAATTCACTTATAAGTATACTTGGCCTAGCCTATGTTGCAGGAATATGTCGTCCACCTATTGATTGTGGAGTTGATAATTTTCAAGGAGATACCTGGTCTCTTTTTGCCAACACTGTGGCCCATGAGTTAGGTCATACGTTAGGTATGCAGCATGATGAAGAATTCTGTTTTTGTGGGGAAAGAGGTTGCATCATGAATACTTTTAGAGTGCCAGCAGAGAAATTCACCAATTGCAGTTACGCTGATTTTATGAAGACCACCTTAAACCAGGGATCATGTCTGCATAATCCTCCAAGATTGGGGGAAATCTTTATGCTAAAGCGCTGTGGGAATGGTGTGGTTGAAAGAGAAGAGCAGTGTGACTGTGGATCCGTACAGCAGTGTGAACAAGACGCCTGTTGTCTGTTGAACTGCACTCTAAGGCCTGGGGCTGCCTGTGCTTTTGGGCTTTGTTGCAAAGACTGCAAGTTCATGCCATCAGGGGAACTCTGTAGACAAGAGGTCAATGAATGTGACCTTCCAGAATGGTGCAATGGAACATCTCATCAGTGTCCAGAAGATAGATATGTGCAGGACGGGATCCCCTGTAGTGACAGTGCCTACTGCTATCAAAAGAGGTGTAATAACCATGACCAGCATTGCAGGGAGATTTTTGGTAAAGATGCAAAAAGTGCATCTCAGAATTGCTATAAAGAAATCAATTCTCAGGGAAACCGTTTTGGTCACTGTGGTATAAATGGCACAACATACCTAAAATGTCATATCTCTGATGTCTTTTGTGGGAGAGTTCAATGTGAGAATGTGAGAGACATTCCTCTTCTCCAAGATCATTTTACTTTGCAGCACACTCATATCAATGGTGTCACCTGCTGGGGTATTGACTATCATTTAAGGATGAACATATCTGACATTGGTGAAGTGAAAGATGGTACTGTGTGTGGCCCAGGAAAGATCTGCATCCATAAGAAGTGTGTCAGTCTGTCTGTCTTGTCACATGTCTGCCTTCCTGAGACCTGCAATATGAAGGGGATCTGCAATAACAAACATCACTGCCACTGTGGCTATGGGTGGTCCCCACCCTACTGCCAGCACAGAGGCTATGGGGGCAGTATTGACAGTGGCCCAGCATCTGCAAAGAGAGGAGTTTTTTTGCCGCTGATTGTGATTCCTTCTTTGTCTGTTTTGACTTTCCTGTTTACTGTCGGGCTTCTTATGTATCTACGACAATGTTCTGGTCCCAAAGAAACTAAGGCTCATTCATCAGGTTAAGAAAATGTCTCTAACTTAATATTCCATGCATTAGTACACTTTAGTCTCTTGGCAGTAGAAACATTAGTACATCCCTGAAACTGAGCACATTTCTGACCATTTCCAGAAAGCTGCAAAGATCTTCCCTTACATTAGTACCACAAACATTGTCATTAAGTTCAAGTTATTCTTAACATGTTTCTATCTATTGTTTATTGTTTTAAGCAGCAAATAAAGCTACATCCTTCCCTCCCTTTAGTCCTTGTTGTGTTTCTTGTGCATAGAGATGACTTATGGGAAATGTATGAGATGTTTCTGCCTCAGAGTGTCCAGGGGTGAGGCTTACCTCTCTACTGACATTTATCAATGTGGGAAAATTACTTAAATTTTCTGATGTTCTGCTTCAAAATCTGAAAAGGGGTAGGGTTCATAATAATATTTGTCCCACCCAACTTCTTGGTTTTATTTGGTAACCAAAAGAGAGAAATAAGTGAATTTTTGTTAAGTATAAACAGATTGTTATCTGATGAAATCTCCTGATCTTGCTCCCTGTGTGCTTCCTAGCTCTTTGTCTTAATTTGGCAGTTTGGATATCCTTTTGGAGCATTTGCTTGCTTCACATACCAAAATATAATCTCCATGAGGGTGGGGTTGTTTTCATCTGTTTTGCTCATCATTGTATCCTTGATAGCCGGAACAGTGCACAGTGCTTACTACACAATAAATACTTAAATGAAATCATGAATCTGAATGGAGTATTAAATAAATGAAATTATGAAAAGTAAAAATAATATTTTGATACCTTGGGATGTCATTCTGATCCTCTTTTTTAAACTACTGGAGCTCTTGCTCAAAATTAAACTTTGAATATTTAAAATGCTGCTGTTTGTACCTGGTGCAGTTTGCTGGTCTTTTCTTCCCCCAGTGTATCTTCTCCGTCTATTCTCAGTGTTTTTGGAAAGCCTGTCTCTTGAAAACACAGAGTGAGTCAGATACCCTTTGTATTGATCAGTTAACTTCTGAATGGCACTCTGTAAATTGAGTCAAAATACCTTTTGCATATCATTTTTCATTATGCTTTGCCAACTTTGCATCTTCTATCTATTTCATGTTTAGAATATATTTGGCTGTGTCATTCTCTGCATATTTGTACATGAAATCCCCATTCCCAAAATGCTGTTTACCACCCTGCCCCTACTCCCTTGCCCTGGAAAACTCCTATTTTCTCTCAATAGAGGTTAAATGTTATATCTTCGTAGAAGCATTCCTTATGAAATGGTAAGTGTTCCACTTGTGTGCCCCATCACTTTGTGGTCACCCCTTTATGATTTGATGTCCTCTAGGAATAGAGATGGAGAGGGTCCAACAATGTGCTAGCAAAAAGAAGCAGAGGACAGCTACTGGAGCCATACAAGGAGGGAGGAGTGAATCAAGAATACAATCTGGTCAAATCAGAGAAAGCTCCACATGTTGTAAGTGTACACATCCATATGGAGACAAAAGATAGCTGCTCCAGTTTATTGGTTCTTTTTTGAAAAGCTTTATGGTAAAAAGCCATTGAAGTTGATTACGGTAAAATTTGTCAGCCTAATGTTCTTTTATATTTGCCGAGTTTTGTATTTCTGCTTGAGATTACTTTTCTGGGATTATGTTGGTTTCAGCTCTTATGCTTAATTGTGGAATTTATTTTGCTATAAGGAATGAGATAGGTATCTAATTGTATACTTTTCCAAATGGGTAGCCTGTTGTCCTGATACACTTCATAGAATAAATCCTTTATCACTGCTTTGCTGGTAAATTGGTATCCTGTATTGTATTTTAAAGTTAATTTGTTAGAGTCACCTTATTTTACTTGTAAATTTTTACAAGAAGCAGTGCATTTTGCAATATTCTTATTTTAAGAAAAGCTGCATAGTTATTTTATATTCATTGAGTTAATTAGAGCTATATCAGTCAATTATATCAGGATTGGTGGGTAGAATTAACCTTTTTATAAGAAGCATAGAGTCTTACCACCTGTTTTAATTTGGATTGCCCAAAAAGCAGACCCAGAGACAAGGATTTAGGTGGAGTTAGTTTTCTGGGGAAGCACAAAACAGGGCAGACTAATGAACAAGTTTTCTCTGTGTACTACTGGAGTCATCCCTGTAGGCTTTCTGAGAAGTCATGTGAAACACACCTTTGATTAATATTCCATGGTTCAGGAGAAAGCTGTAAGGAAAAGAATATCTGAGATATAAGCATGTGAAGTAGTAAACTCTCAGAGCATGAAGATTGTCTACTGTGGCTGCAAGTGAACTCAAGTGGGACAAGAAGATGGAGGGTGAGCTTTCAGCATCTACTGTACCCAGGTTCCTTAGAAAACATATGCTGAAGCAAGGAATAAATCTAAATGGTTTATTTGGAAAATACAATCCTAGGGAAATGAGAGTAAAAGTAAAGGTATTTAGGGCTGGAAAGTATGGTACAGCAGATTCTAGTGGTACCTGCCTGTATCCTCTTAGGCTGAACCTTGAGGTTGTCTGTAGTACTGATGACAACTATGTACACTAATGGCATTCTACTTTATGGGGGTGAGCTCAGCCCATTGATGGAGCAGGCTGGAAGCAAGAAGGAGTTAACGCATGTGAAAGCAACTCTCAACTGATAAGAAATGTGTGAATGAGCATGACAGCTTCCCCAGTCCTCATGGAACTTCTCTGTGGTGTTGGGGCCCAAGTGAGGCTGTTCATTTAGTATAACAGGAACTGGGTCTCTCTACTTTCCCCCCAAAGAAAACTTCAAAAAACTCTGTTCTTCACAAAGTCTTCTTTGTTCTTTGAGCACCTATTGAAAAAGCTGACTGGAGACTGTCTCAGTCTATTCAATTCTCCCTGTGATCCTCCACTATGGACTTTCTTTCAAACTGTGTCTTATTGTTATTAACCCTTACTGTTTTCATAACAGTTTAGGCACAGAACTGACATGACATCCCTTTGCATGAGTTTTCCAAACCGTGGCCACGTGAACTAAGCCATCTGATTGCTGGGTATATCAGCATCTAGATTATGCAAAATTATGTGAACTTATTTTTGTTCCTGCTGATGCAAGTGCCTGGTGGGTCAAATCCGGAGCACAGACGCATGACAAGGTATGGCTTCCATGAAAAGAAAACAACGTCACACTACTTCTCTTTCTGGTGAGTTGGACACCTGTATAGAAGGTTGAGGACTGTCATTTGTTTAGGTAAAGACATTAGAAAGGGATTTTTCCCTTTGTACTGAAAGCAGAGATGGTGCAGGACCTTTCATAGGTAACTTCCCAAGGCAGTAGTACAATCAAACCCTGTGACTTGATGCCACAGACAACACATATAAGCCTCTCACAAAGGTCATAAATGGTCCTGACACTGAATCTTATGGTACAAACACTTGCCACATCACCACATGTTATGGATGGCCCAGAAGTCAGCCCTGTGCAACTTGGATTTGCTCACTTGCTCCTCTCATTAGACTGATAGGCACCAAAGATTACATGGTGATAGCATGGTGAGTATTCAAAAAATGTGGAATAACTTGGCCAGGTGACAAAATCAAGTCCTATAGCTGCCAAAACCAAACTAAATTGATATTCTGCAATCTATTCTACTCCTTCGGATTGACAGGGGCACATATAGATACACAGATGCCAATATGACGGAAGACAAAGCACAACAAACCCCAATCTGTAGGGTCACGAGTTTCACTCTAACGTTATTTGTGAACCACACTGGTCTTTTTATCTTGTGTGGTGACAAGGTCTATGAAGGGTTCCCACCTACATGGTCAGAATGATGGGGACTCAGATACCTAACACTTTGCCACCAGGTACTCCTCCTTCAATGCCAGCCAAATTATAAACTTGGGCTCCTTCGTTTATAAAGTAGTGATACACAAGCGTACTAAATGAGATTTTATAGAAAATCCACTTATATGTCACAATTCTAAGTTCCTTTCCATGCTGAGATCCATTTTCCCAGGCTTTGGAACTTATGAGAGGGAAAGGGCAATTCTCAATGTTTCCATAGTAATAGAACAGGAGTCAGTATTACTATGCAAGCACTGAGAAGACTCCAATCAGAAGTGAACAGTTTAGCCTCTGTTGTACTTCAGAATCACCATGTCCTGGATACAATGACAGCCCAAGAAGGAGGAGCTTATGCAATCATTGGTGAGGAACCCTGCTTATGTGTAAATCACTAGGGACAGACAGAATCTAATCTGAACTTTTTGAAAGACAAAATAAACACTCTTCATCTTATAAATGAGGCTAAACCATTCAATTGGACTGACCCATTGCCAGTGATAGGAGATTGGTTGAATGCAGTATGGGTAAATGTGTTTAGATTTGTTCTTTTCTGCTTATTAATTCTCCTTCTAATCTGTGTTCTTCTCTCCCTTTGCAGACCCCTTGCCACTCAGCTACTAACACAACTCTTCTCTCCACAAACACTAACTCAGCTTTTAATTTGAAACTGTTAGGGAAGTTTCAGACAGGGAAAATAAAGGAGTTAAAAGTTTGCTGCTCTAAAATATGCCAAATTAGTATATGATTACTTCAAAGCTCAAAGCACTTTGGAAACTGTATTTCCAGAAGTGACTATCTGACCTGCCTTTTCCCACATATAGCAAGCCATAAAAATTCCATGGAGAAAGATGCCTTCCCTGTACCAGGACAAGAAAATAACCCTATCCCCAAAGATTGGAAATTGTTGCTTCAGTAGACCTGTACAAATAAAGTAACTCTTATCTCTCCCTAGCTTTATAACTCCTCCTCCCTACCAATATATCTCCTAGTGACTTCCCTGGAATTCACTGTCCCTAGCTTAGATCCTTTTGTCATTTCTTCACAAATGTATTGTTCTTTTTCTAAAGGTAAAAAAGCTTTCTGCTTTAGCCATTATTTTGGGTCTTCACACTCTTGAGAGGATATCTATATATATGAGTTCTTCAAGGGGCACACAAACAAGTGGCCATGGTGGCAGAGATACAGGTACATTGGGCTCAATAGCATGGACTCCCACTTGCCAAGAGAATTAATCAAGACACTTCTGCCATGAATGTCCAACTTGCCAGTGACACAGATCAAGGCTGAGTTTCTGGGAAGGTACTACTCTTCGAGGAAACCAAAGAGCAAATTAGTGAGACATTAACTCCTTTGTGCACCTTTTATCCTGGGAGGGCCAGAGATTAGTTCACACAAGAAAATATATATATTCTAGTTATGATATTGTCTGCAGAACTTGAGCCAGCACCACTACTGGGGGTATATGGATTGTGGGATCTTTAAGCATGGAATCTCATGCAACTTGGCATATGAATAGAGGATTCATTCATTCTTTAGTGTATGAGGTGCAAGAATGGCATGTAGCAATGAATTATATTGTTTGTATCATATATCAAATATTTAGTAGCATCTATTCTAGACTGCTTAGAATGGCCTGCAGAAGGCAGGGCCAGAGTGCCAGCTCAGAAACAATATTCTGAAAGAATAGAATTGAGTGCCAGCCTTCACAATGCATTGTGTATATTTAGTCAGAGATTCCTACATGGTGTTGTATACGCAATAGAAAGAATATATGGGGCCCAGAACCAAGGAAGAGAAGCTGGGTGGCCTCACTTATCATCACACTTGATGATCCACTGATCTGCTTCCCTCCCTGCAACTATCTGTTCTCTAGGCAGGTCTTGGTCCACAAAGAGAATGCATCTTTGCCAGGGGACCCAGTATAAGTTCCATAGACCTGCAAGCTGCCCTCAGGGCATCTGGGACATCTTCTGTTCAAGGACAAGCAGGTAAAAAGAAGAGTCATTTTGGCAGGAGTAATTGACCCTGGATAGCAGGGGGAGGTAAGGCTGCTGAGCCCCAGTAGAGGCATGGAGGATTATATGAAGAAACTAGAGGATTCACTTGGGAGCCACTTGGAACCACCCAACACAATCGTAACTGTGAATGGATATGTGCAGCAGTGTTAACCTCCTGGGATGAAGATGCAAAAGATTTAAAACAAACATTACAGCAAGGGCTCTGGGTTCTCCCTGACTCCCACTTTTGTCCTTTTTCTTTTTCCTTCTTCTCTTTATTTTTTTAAAGTTAAAATAAAATTAATGTTATAAAGGTGGGGTCTTGCTATGTTGCCCAAGCTGGTCTCAAAGTCTTGGGCTCAAGCATTCCTCCCACTTTGGCCTCCCAAAGTACTAGGATTATAGGCATGAGCAACCATGCCCAGCACCCTTCCCACAACCCCCTTTTTTTTTTTAAACTGTATATCTCTCACAGCCCATGGCTATCCAAAAACCCACAAGGTTTGTAAAGACAGTTCTCAGAATTATTGTTCTGTTGGTTATTAGACTCCAAAGAAGGGACAAGGAAATACGAATAGTCTCCATCTACGAGTTTTGGTTAAGGTGAACACTGATGGTAAAATTGAAAGGACAAGGACAGCTACCCAAAACATTCCCATCTTGTAAAAACCTTGACACTGCTTCACTTGTGACATCACCTGGTCTTCAGGTACTCCCTCATGTAGTTCAATTGAATAATGCCTTTAACCTCTGTCTGAGTCACTTAAAAAAAACTGGTCTCAAGTGATATATATATATATCCTTGGGTGGAGAGATAAGCCCTGCTCTTGGTCTCTGATTCTTTTCTTTTTTTCCCTCATTTAAATTTTTATTCTTGATTTCCAACTTTTATTTTAAGGTCAGTGTTACATGTGCAGGATAGGACATGCAGGTTCATTACATAGGTAAACACTGTCACGGTGGTTTGCCACACAGATCATCCCATCACCTGACTTTCTTTCAGAGCATGGTGGTTGCATGCTTTGACTTTTTTCTAGGTACCCTTTTGTCAGACTGAAGTCAGCATTTTCCTTCCATCTTTCAGAGTTCTTTAGATGTGCAGAGAGTTTAGGCAACTTTCCTAAGGTGGGACAAGACTCTTCTATTATCTCAAATTTCTTCTACTACGGAAACTCCTATTCAACCCAAACACCTGGCCAGATCTGTGTAGACATATGGTCTGGTGCAATGTTGATAGATCTGTTAAATTCTTAAGTGGTGTGATTTCATCAGGTATAAATTTGAAATGCACTGCCTTTGGTTACTTGGGACATGTCAAACTTGTGCATTTTTGTGTCACCTTAGAAGAAAAGGGTAGCAGAATAGCTGACACTCCACGAATAACTTACTTTAATTGGTATGAAGAAACCAAGAAAAGAAATATTTTGAACAGTCTCTAGTCTTGAGTCCTGTTTCCAACAACTTCAATGGTCTTCTTTTCCCAAAAGACTCCTCCCTTCTACCTCAGTTTATGCCTCTGATTCTCACCTCCCTTCTATCCTGATCCCTATCTTCTTAAAGTCCCCCTTGCTTCTTTTCTTCCACATCTCCAGCTCCCTCTTATTATTTGACCTGGAACATCACCTCTTGTTGGATATGATAAGCCTTAAAAACAAGGGAGAAGTTTTTAAAACACACCCAGACACACACACACACACACACACACACACAGTGTGTCACTCTTTCACTCAGCTGGAGTGCAGTGGTAGGATCATGACTCACTGTAACCTCCAGCTCCTGGTCTCAAGTGATCCTCCTGCCTCAGCCTCCCAAGAAGCTGGATCTATAGAGATACACTATCACACCTGGCTGATTTTTAAATTTTTTTTAGAGACAGGGTCTTGCTATCTTGCCCAGGTTGGTCTTGAACCCCTGGCCTCAAGTGATCTTCCTGCCTCAGCCTCCTGAGTAGCTAGGACCACAGGCACATGCCACCATGCCTAGCCAATTTCTTTATATTTTGTGTTGACAAGGTCTCACTATGTTGCCCAGGCTGGTCTCAAACTGATCCTCCCTCCTCAGACTCCTGAATTGCTATGACTGCAGGTGTATGCCACCATGCCTGGGTATTTTTTTTTTTATTTTTTTGATAGTTTATAGAGATAGAGTCTCACAAGGATGCCCAGGTTGGTCTCAAACTCCTGGCCTCGAGGAATCCTCCCACCTCAGGCCCCCAAATTGCTGGGATTATAGCCATGAGTCACTGTGCCCGACCTTAGTGCACTATTTCTGAAGTGATTCTTCCTGTTTCCCTTTAGGTAAGATTTTGTGTCTGTACATTTATCAGACTGTCAGTTCCATCCTGCAATTTATAGATAGGCTGGGCTTAGGCAATTCCTGGAGATTTAAAATATGATGTCCCATACCTTTAATTTCCAGAGAAATTGAGAAGTGATTTATCAGTGAATAATGACCCTTTCTGTAATAGTTTAACGGTAAAGACAAAAAGCCAGAGAAATTACATATGGGATTCCCCAGGCTTAACACAATGTAGAAATACTGAGAATAATGAAAATGATAGCAGACAGCATGTACCAAGTGCCGAAAATGTTTCAGGCTTTTCTAAGTGCTTTCTTTTGATTGTCACAATGCTTTGGAAAAGTACATTTCAACTGGGAATGTAAAATGTGGACCTTGAAACTCTGAAATATTAAGACTTTGCCTATAATCACACAATCAGCAGTTGGTAGAACCACTGTTGAAATTCAAGGTGCTTATGACACAAAAGATTTTTAAAATCTATCCTACCATATAAGTGCCAAAGTAGCCTTTTATGTTTATTTGTTTAACACTAACAATAAAATGGACAAATAGCAAACATCTCAAATGTAACCAATTAGAAAAAGACCTTAAGGCTGGGTGCGGTGGCTAACGCCTGTAATCCCAGCACTTTGGGAGGCCCAGGCAGGGGAATCACTTGAGGCCAGGAGTTTGAGACCAATCTGGCCAACATGGTGAAACCCTCTCTCTCCTAAAAATACAAAAATTAGTCAGGCGTGGTGGTGTGTGCCTGTAATCCCAGCTACTCAGGAGATTGAAGCAGGAGAATTGCTTGAACTCAGGAGGCAGAGGTTGCAGTGAGCCAAGATTGCACCACTGCATTCCAGCCTGGCAGCCTGGGCGCCAGAGTGAGACCCTGTCTCAAAAAATAAGAAAAAGAAAAAGACCTTAAGAGTGTTAAAGCAAAGCAAATGTATATTAGTGCAAACAGGATTTGCCACAGGGGTATCTAGAAAACATTAGACCCCAAATCTTACATGAGTACAAGTCCTCTTGTTAGTGAATCTAGGAGTTGCTGCCATCATCTATAGAAGTATTGAGAATGTGACCAGACATGAAATGTTAAGTAAATTTAAACACACAGACCTTTTTAAATTGCCAAGTGATTTTATTTCAAGATGACATCAGAATTGCTAAAAGATGATGTAATTGTCAGAGTGACTATTGATTATATCTCCCAGTAAGTGTCAATGTAATTTACTCCATTGTGTGGGCTCTTTTCCTTTCTCTTCCCTAACATTGTATTGCTTGTGAAAAGCCACCAAAGAGAAGCGAAACCACAAAAAGGATGTAACGAATACATATTAAAACTAGTGCTCGGTTTGTATTTACAAGTATGCTGCCTGCAATACGATATTGTTTGTCAGGTAGAGGGCCACTATCTATACTACCTCCTTTTCCTCTCAGTTCACATGTTGGTGGTTGCCACTCATGCAGACAATGACAATGTTTTTTGTTGTTACATACTCCTTTGTAATTGCATGTTTTAAGATCACACTCAAAATGCAGGTCTTGATAAAAAGTACAATTGCGTTTAAGACAGTAGCTCCCTGGGCCACAGGTTGCACCATCCACTACCAGCCCCATTTCTGGCAAGTCTGTCCCCTGGTGTGCTTCATAGCCAAAGCATTTTTCTTCTTTTATGTCGTGTACTAATATATTACAAAATGTAGTGTGCTCACCTCCACCGGGAATGTGGCTGACACCGCTACAGTGCAACATTCCACAAAAAACATCATCTTCTTCACATGGAAAAGGTCTACTTCCCCCTCGCCGTAGAATAACCCCACAGTTTCCAAATCGGTTACCAATCCTATTCAATTTTCGATAGCACGCTGGGGAACCGTCTTTCACTTGGTAGCCAAAAAGGGCTTGACACTGCATATCACGGTCACTGCAGTTTCCTCTTATACAAACAGATACTGCTGAACATGGGGTTCCATCCTGGATGTAGATGTCATTTGGACACTCTTCCTTTTTCCCATCACAGTATTCCGGTAGATCACATATACCACCCAAGTCTCTGCAAACCACTCCAGGGGCAGCATATTTACACTTATGGCAGCAAAGTCCTGTATTGCAAACACTGCCAAGAGAAAGGGTACAAGAGGTCTCACAACATCTATCACTGGCACAATCTTTAAGGGAGCCACAGTCACATTCTTCCCTCTGATTTTTGATCTTGTCTCCACAACGAGGAGCTACGTATGGAAAATTAGTGTATGGAACATTTGGAGCACTCAAACAAGGATCCCATTGATTAAACTTGCGTTGAATTATCTCATAAGAACAATTGCTCATCATATCATTAAGATCAGGAACAGGGTCATGAGACAGTTGGTTCGTCGAAAACAATAACAACCAACAGAATCATGTCTCAAGCCCATGTTATGACCTAGTGCATGTGCTGTAACACATGCCCCCCTAAATAGGTGATACCTCATTATATACACAAACATTGCTCCCCAGTTGGGGGTGCATATTCCATCAAAGCTGGCATAACACTCACTGTTTCCAAGTCGATTTGATGTAAAAACAACTGAGGTATCATGTGAAATTTCTGAATACAAATTGTGATATTTCCACACACCAAACAGTTCTACAGCAACGTGGCCTGGCCTGCTAGCAGAAAATAGTACTGCATCCTTTTGATTCCATATGCACAAAACACATATATAGACATTTAAATAAACTGGTTTGAAAATGGTATGTATGATGCTGTTAATAATCACTACATTCTCTATTATATGTGACACATTAGGGTTCCGCATGAATAATCCACGAGTAACCGTGTAGTGAATTTTCAAGTTTTTTCTATGATGCCTCCACAAATAAACGTGGCCTGCTCTGGGAGTTTCAGCCAGTTTTACCTTTTCAGATTCTTGATCTATCTCTTCCCCTTCAGTCTTACATCTACTAGCCTCTCCTGGTCTTTCTTCTGACACAAGCAGAGATACTACATGCTCAAATTTGGAAGAAGCCTCCAGGTGTTTGATTTCGTAAGTCAAGTCATCCACCTGCAGCATGCCATGCAGACCTCCACGGCAGGTGTCCAATGTGGCCGCAGACCCAGGAACCCCTTCCAGGTAGCAGTCATAGTAACAGTCTCGTGGGACAAAAGGGTAGTTCTCCTGCATGGCCCCTTGGTCATTATCAGTAAAAACAGGTAAATGTCTGGGCATCATGTTCTTCTTGAGCTTCATGTGAATCACGTGTCTTTGGCCCCGGAAACGCATGCTGTAAGAGAGCTGGTCTGGCATCTCAACTCCACCCCTCTTGTGGGGCACTTTCCTGGGGATCACAATTTCTGAGGAAGTGAAGCGCCATCCTGGTGGGTCATGAAAACAATAGACCTGGGACAAGAGTGCCCAGAGGACAGGCAGCCAGAGAGCACCTGTCAAGGGGTCCTGGACCCAGGCAGGTCCCATGAATAAGGAAGCCTTTGACCAAAGAAAATGCAGTCAAATGGGAGGCAGAAAGAGGATTCCTCAGTCTTCAGCCTTCTCCTCAGGGCAGTTTTGAGGAAGGCAGAGTGAGTCTGCAGGCTTGGCACCCCCTGATAGGCGAGGGGTAAGGGTTAGGCTATTACATAACAATGGTGTGCTCATCAGGGGAGGCTGTTTTCAGTGAGCTGGAGACGTAGGCCAGGGGGCAAAGGAAGAGAAAAAAATGGCAGGAATTGAGAAAAGCAGTGTATAACTGAGCTGAAATGTCGCTTGTCCTCTAAGGGAAGTCATAAGTGGGGTTTGATGAGTAAGTGGGTTTGATGCAAGTTTACGACACTTAAGGACATTTTTCTCAAGCCTAAATGAGGGAAGGATTCAACATGTAATTAAAAGAGGGAAGCATATACAATGATAAGGAAAGTAGAAACTTCTTAAAAGAATTTTGAGGATAGACTTAGAGGTTATAGAAATCAAATGGAGCTGAGGGTAATGGATGAACTGGAGAGTAAAATGTCATGAGAAAAATTAGGGTGTGTAACTATAATTTCTTATCAAGTTAAACATATACCTACGCTTTGATCCAGCAATTTCAGTCCTAGGAACTTACCACATAGTCTTGTCTATGAATGTTCATAGCAGTATTATTCATAAATGTATTCTACAATCTGGAAACCAAGAACCAGTCCTTGATAGGTGAATGGATAAACAAACTGATATATTCATTCATTGAAATACTCCTCTGTTATAACATGAACAAACTTCTGAAACATGCAAGATCATGGTTGAATTTCAAAGAAATTATGAGACAAAGAAGCCAGACCAAATGGAGTAGATTATGTTTTAATTTGTATGAAGTTCTAGGATACTTCATATTAATCTATGGAAATAGAAATGTAATTATTAGTTTCTAGATGTGTGAGCAGGGGAATGGGGCATAAAAGGACCTTTCTGGAAAAAGGTAAAGTATCAGTCAAATATCTTGATTGCAATGGTGATTTCAAATAAAAGCTAATCAAGCTGCACCCTTAAAATCTGTGTATTTTATCATAAGCTAAGTACACCTCAAGAGTTAATTTTCTATAAAGGATCTGACTTTAGCTTCTTTCTGACTCAATCCAGAATTAGCACATCATGAAATTATCTCAGAAACCATCTGCCTTTCCTTTTCAAAAATAGTTTTAACATAGAATTGCATGAAAACAGACTCAATTTGGTATAAGGAAGTTACCTACAGCAGCTTACCTCATTTATTTTTCTCCTCTTATGAGTCATACCTTTTAGTTGGGAGGATTTACACAAGGTAATATTTAGAAAAGAAGAATATATTAATATTTAAATGTGTGCAACATTGAAAGATTTGTTTTAAATTCAGTGCAGTCAGAAATACTTTAAAAGTACAAGAATGAGTTGATCTCAGCCTGAAATTAATTGGCCACAATAAAAAAAAATAATAATTTCTAGAAGAAAGTAATGTAATAAAAGTAGAAAGAGGAATAAAAGTAATTGTAATGGTAAGAATTATAAAATGTACTAATTTATACATTATATGTATATTAAGAATTATTGAAAAATAGGAACAGATAAAAAGGATTGAGCCCTTTGGGGAGGAGTAATAGCTAGTTATCCGTTTATTATTTGACATGACGGGAAATATTGACTGAAATCTGTAAGAATGGGGATGACATAAGGGAAGTGATATTCGAAAGATAATTAGGCTGCTTTTTATATTCAGGTACTGTTTTCAGCAATCTGTCAAATCGTTTTTGTCCTCTGCTCTCACACTGCAACAACAATCAACACTAAAGAAGACTTCTGTGACCAAAAGTGTTTTTGTTTTTGTTTTTCACACACACCAAGCAGCAGATACTAGCTGTGTGTCCTTCAAATCAATTCTGACACCATCTACCTGGGTATAGTGTCAGATTCCCCAGGTTAGGCATCCAGTCCCCAGCTTCAGCTACCAGTCACATGTGTAGGCCTCCAGAACTTCTGATCAACAAGCTTCAATTTGGGGTTCCCATGACTCCTTTTTGGAGTTTGGTTAATTTGTTGGAATGGAACTCAGGAAAACACTTACGCTTACCCAGTTATTATAAAGGGTATTATATATGATACAGAAGAAGAGATGCATAGGGTGAGGTATGGTGCAAGGGGCACAGAGCTTCCATGCCCTCCTTGTGCACAATCATCAAGGAGCCCCCACATGCTCAGCTATCCAGAAGCTCTCTGAACCCTACCCTTTTGAGTTTTTATAGAGGTTTCATTACATAGGCATGATTGACAACCACACAGAAATGTGATTGGAGAAAGTGCATGGTTTAAACCCAGCAAGGCCTGTCTGTTCAGTCTTCGCCTCTGTGTTTACCATTCTTCCTTTAGGATATTGGGTAGGACCCCCTCTGGAATGAGGGTCTTCTGCCCCATAATCAGATTAGTCCTGCCTTGGATAGGTGAAAAAGGACAGGAAAAGGTCAGAGAGAGAGAGAGGGATTCTGATTCTTCAGGTCTGTTTCTGAGGCCTAAAGCACTCCAACATTAATTATAACAAAACTATAATAAGGTTGTGGGCATTGTAAGCCAGGAACTATGGATGAAAACCTATGTGTGTATGTGTGTGTGTGTGTGTGTGTGTATATATTATATATAAAATATATATATATATATATAAAATCATAATATCACAGATACTGAAAAGATACAGCCAGGAAACCCCCTAGTCACAATGTTGTATAAATTAGCAGACTATTTCAATGACGTGAAGGGACTGTTTGGGGGTACACAGAAGTTCTAGAAATGAGTTAGGTTTGAGTAATCGTGTGTATGTGTGTGTCTGTGTGTGTGTATTGTGTTTAGTCTTTTAAAAATCTTCTTGAATTTAGTTCTCTCTTTGTGTGTCTCATCTGGCTTTTCATGAATTATAATGTATTATTTTTGAAATCATAGATGTTTTAAAAAGTTTTAAGTGAGAGTGACATCAGTAAAATATCAGGCTGGAAAACTGCAAGCTCTCCTTCCCCCATAGAAACATTGAAAAAGAAAAAACCTAGAAATTCAGCTATCTGAATCAACTGTGTAAGAGCTTTGGAAAAAAATGCAAAGGTTTACAACAAACAAACAAACATACATCAAGAAAATGCCATCTTCAAAATACTCCAATAATTAAAGAAACCTTTGCCAAAACATTAGTTAATGCAAGCTAAAGGAACAGCATCTTTACTGAGCACACAAAACCAGATAGGCTTGACTAAATTTGTTTGGAAAAATATCTAAACAAATGCCTTATATCCTTCAACAACTAAACTTTTCAAAAGCATTACCGGAAGGAATGAGAATATGTTCTCAGTTACCACACTGTAATAATCAAATACCCTATTGTCATAAACAACAAAAAGTACAAAGTATACAAAGAAACAGTAAGACATGGCTTATTCAAAAGAACAAAATAATTGACAGAAATCATCCCCAATAGAACCTAGACACCAGACTTACTAGACTAAGTCCATAAAACAACAGTTTGAAGTATAGTCAAAGAGCTAAGGGAAAACATGGACAAAAAAAAAAAAAACCCAGAAGAATCAAAAAACTAATATATGAACAAAATAAGCATTTTTAACAAAGAAAATTACAAAAAGGAAATAAATGAAAATTCTGGATTGGAAAGGCACAGTAACTACAATGAAAAATGTAGTAGGGTTGCTCAACAGCAGATTTGTTCAAAGAGAAAAAAAGTCTTCTTTTCTTGAAAATACTTGAAGATAGGACAATTGAACTTATCTGATCTAAGTAGAAGAAACAAGAAGGAATGAAGAAAAGTATACAGAACAAAAAGAAATTGTGAAACACCATCAAGCTAAACAACATATGCATTATGGGAGTCTTAGATGGAGAAGAAAACCCAGGCTGAGAATTTTCTGTCTTTATGCTCTGCTTCCCTTTTAGTGATAAACTGTCTTTAAATTCTTTCTTTCTGGGGGAGGAGCCAAGATGGCCGAATAGGAACAGCTCCAGTCTACAGCTCCCAGCATGAGCGACGCAGAAGACGGTGATTTCTGCATTTCCATCTGAGGTACCAGGTTCATCTCACTAGGGAGTGCCAGACAGTGGGTGCAGGTCAGTGGGTGCGCGCACCGTGCGCGAGCCGAAGCAGGGCGAGGCATTGCCTCACTTGGGAAGCGCAAGGGGTCAGGGAGTTCCCTTTCCGAGTCAAAGAAAGGGGTGACGGACAGCACCTGGAAAATCGGGTCACTCCCACCCGAATACTGCGCTTTTCCGACAGGCTTAAAAAACGGCGCACCACGAGATTATATCTGGCACCTGGCTTGGAGGGTCCTATGCCCACGGAGTCTCGCTGATGGCTAGCACAGCAGTCTGAGATCAAACTGCAAGGCAGCAGCCAGGCTGGGGGAGAGGCGGCCGCCATTGCCCAGGCTTGATTAGGTAAACAAAGCAGCCGGGAAGCTCCAACTGGGCGGAGCCTACCACAGCTCAAGGAGGCCTGCCTGCCTCTGTAGGCTCCACCTCTGGGGGCAGGGCACAGACAAACAAAAAGACAGCAGTAACCTCTGCAGACTTAAATGTCCCTGTCTGACAGCTTTGAAGAGAGCAGTGGTTCTCCCAGCATGCAGCTGGAGATCTGAGAATGGGCAGACTGCCTCCTCAAGTGGGTCCCTGACCCCTGACCCCCGAGCAGCCTAACTGGGAGGCACCCCCCAGCAGGGGCCCACTGACACCTCACATGGCAGGGTATTCCAACAGACCTGCAGCTGAGGGTCCTGTCTGTTAGAAGGAAAACTAACAAACAGAAAGGACATCCACACCAAAAACCCATCTGTACATCACCATCATCAAAGACCAAAAGTAGATAAAACCACAAAGATGGGGAAAAAACATAACAGAAAAACGGGAAACTCTAAAAAGCAGAGCGCCTCTCCTCCTCCAAAGGAACGCAGTTCCTCACCAGCAATGGAACAAAGCTGGATGGAGAATGACTTTGACGAGCTGAGAGAAGAAGGCTTCAGACGATCAAATTACTCTGAGCTACGGGAGGACATTCAAACCAAAGGCAAAGAAGTTGAAAACTTTGAAAAAAATTTAGAAGAATGTATAACTAGAATAACCAATACAGAGAAGTGCTTAAAGGAGCTGATGGAGCTGAAAACCAAGGCTCGAGAACTACGTGAAGAATGCAGAAGCCTCAGGAGCCGATGCGATCAACTGGAAGAAAGGGTATCAGCGATGGAAGATGAAATGAATGAAATGAAGTGAGAAGGGAAGTTTAGAGAAAAAAGAATAAAAAGAAATGAGCAAAGCCTCCAAGAAATATGGGACTATGTGAAAAGACCAAATCTACATCTGATTGGTGTACCTGAAAGTGATGGGGAGAATGGAACCAAGTTGGAAAACACTCTGCAGGATATTATCCAGGAGAACTTCCCCAATCTAGCAAGGCAGGCCAACGTTCAGATTCAGGAAATACAGAGAACGCCACAAAGATACTCCCCGAGAAGAGCAACTCCAAGACACATAATTGTCAGATTCACCAAAGTTGAAATGACGGAAAAAATGTTAAGGGCAGCCAGAGAGAAAGGTCGTGTTACCCTCAAAGGTAAGCCCATCAGACTAACAGCGGATCTCTCGGCAGAAACCCTACAAGCCAGAAGAGAGTGGGGGCCAATATTCAACATTCTTAAAGAAAAGAATTTTTGCTCCCTCTCCCTCTCCCTCTCTCTCTCCCCACGGTCTCCCTCTCCCTCTCTTTCAACGGTCTCCCTCCGATGCGGAGCCGAAGCTGGACTGTACTGCCGCCATCTCTGCTCACTGCAACCTCCCTGCCTGATTCTCCTGCCTCAACCTGCCGAGTGCCTGCGATTGCAGGCGCGCGCTGCCATGCCTGACTGGTTTTCGTATTTTTTTGGTGGATACGGGGTTTCGCTGTGTTGGCCAGGCTGGTCTCCAGCTCCTAACCGGGAGTGATCTGCCAGCCTCAGCCTCCCGAGGTGCCAGGATTGCAGAAGGAGTCTCGTTCACTCAGTGCTCAATGTTGCCCAGGCTGGAGTGTAGTGGCATGATCTTGGCTAGCTACAACCTCCACCTCCCAGCCGCCTGCCTTGGCCTCCCAAAGTGCTGAGATTGCAGCCTCTGCCTGGCCGCCACCCCGTCTGGGAAGTGACGAGCGTCTCTGCGTGGCCGCCCATCATCTGGGATGTGAGGAGCCCCTCTGCCCGGCTGCCTAGTCTGGGAAGTGAGGAGCGCCTCTTCCCAGCTGCCATCCCGTCTAGGAAGTGAGGAGCGTCTCTGCCCGGCCGCCCACGCCCATCGTCTGAGATGTGGGGAGCGCCTCTGCCCCACCGCCGTGTCTGGGAGGTGAGGAGCGTCTCTGCCCGGCCGCCCCGTCTGAGAAGTGAAGAGCCCCTCCGCCCAGCAGCCGCCCCGTCCGGGAAGTGAGGAGCATCTCTGCCCGGCAGCTGCCCCATCTGGGAGGTGGGGGGGCAGCCCCCGCCCGGCAGCTGCCCCGTCCGGGAGGGAGGTGGGGGGCAGCCCCCGCCCGGCCAGCCGCCCCGCCGGGAGGGAGGTGGGGGGTCAGCCCCCACCTGGCCAGCCGCCCCGTCCGGGAGGGAGGTGGGGGTCAGCCCCCGCCCGGCCAGCCGCCCCGTCCGGGAGGGAGGTGGGGGTGCGCCTCTGCCCGGCCGCCGCCCTGTCCGGGAGGTGGGGGGCGCCTCTGCCCGGCCGCCCCTTCTGGGAGGTGAGGAGCCCCTCTGCCCGGCTGCCGCCCCATCTGGGAGGTGTACCCAGCAGCTCATTGAGAACGGGCTATGATGACGATGGCGGTTTTGTCGAATAGAAAAGGGGGAAATGTGGGGAAAAGATAGAGAAATCAGATTGTTGCTGTGTCTGTGTAGAAAGAAGTAGACATAGGAGACTCCATTTTGTTCTGTACTAAGAAAAATTCTTCTGCCTTGGGATGCTGTTGATCTATGACCTTACCCCCAACCCGGTGCTCTCTGAAACATGTGCTGTGTCCACTCAGGGTTAAATGGATTAAGGGCGGTGCAAGATGTGCTTTGTTAAACAGATGCTTGAAGGCAGCATGATGGTTAAGAGTCATCACCACTCCCTAATCTCAAGTACCCAGAGACACAAACACTGCGGAAGGCCCCAGGGTCCTCTGCCTAGGAAAACCAGAGACCTTTGTTCACTTGTTTATCTGCTGACCTTCCCTCCACTATTGTCCTATGACCCTGCCAAATCCCCCTCTGCGAGAAACACCCAAGAATGATCAATAAAAAAAAAAAAAGAGTGAAAAAAAAAGAATTTTCAACCCAAAATTTCATATCCAGCCAAACTAAGCTTCATAAGCGAAGGAGAAATAAAATACTTTACAGACAAGCAAATGCTGAGAGATTTTGTCACCACCAGGCCTGCCCTAAAAGAGCTCCTGAAGGAAGCACTAAACATGGAAAGGAAAAACCGGTACCAGCCGCTGCAAAATCATGCCAAAATGTAAAGACCATCAAGACTAGGAAGAAACTGCATCAACTAACGAGCAAAATCACCAGCTAACATCATAATAACAGGATCAAATTCACACATAACAATATTAACTTTAAATGTAAATGGACTAAATGCTCCAATTAAAAGACACAGACTGGCAAGTTGGATAAAGAGTCAAGACCCATCAGTGTGCTGTATTCAGGAAACCCATCTCACGTGCAGAGACACACATAGGCTCAAAATAAAAGGATGGAGGAAGTTCTACCAAGCAAATGGAAAACAAAAAAAGGCAGGGGTTGCAATACTAGTCTCTGATAAAACAGACTTTAAACCAACAAAGATCAAAAGAGACAAAGAAGGCCATTACATAATGGTAAAGGGATCAATTCAACAAGAACACCAAACTATCCTAAATATATATGCACCCAATACAGGAGCACCCAGATTCATAAAGCAAGTCCTGAGTGACCTACAAAGAGACTTAGACTCCCACACATTAATAATGGGAGACTTTAACACCCCACTGTCAACATTAGACAGATCAACGAGACAGAAAGTCAACAAGGATACCCAGGAATTGAACTCAGCTCTGCACCAAGCAGACCTAATAGACATCTACAGAACTCTCCATCCCAAATCAACAGAATATACATTTTTTTCAGCACCACACCACACCTATTCCAAAATTGACCACATACTTGGAAGTAAAGCTCTCCTCAGCAAATGTAAAAGAACAGAAATTATAACAAACTATCTCTCAGACCACAGTGCAATCAAACTAGAACTCAGGATTAAAAATCTCACTCAAAACCGCTCAACTACATGGAAACTGAACAACCTGCGCCTGAATGGCTATTGAGTAAATAACAAAATGAAGGCAGAAATAAAGATGTTCTTTGAAATAAAGATGTTCTTTGAAACCAACAAGAACAAAGACACAACATACCAGAATCTCTAGGACGCATTCAAAGCAGTGTGTAGAGGGAAATTTATAGCACTAAATGCCCACAAGAGAAAGCAGGAAAGATCCAAAATTGACACCCTAACATCACAATTAAAAGAACTAGAGATGCAAGAGCAAACACATTCAAAAGCTAGCAGAAGGCAAGAAATAACTAAAATCAGAGCACAACTGAAGGAAATAGAGACACAAAAAACCCTTCAAAAAATTAATGAATCCAGGAGCTGGTTTTTTGAAAGGATCAACAAAATTGATAGACTGCTAGCAAGACTAATAAAGAAAAAAAGAGAGAAGAATCTAATAGATGCAATAAAAAATGATAAAGGAGATATCACCACCGATCCCACAGAAATACAAACTACCATCAGAGAATACTACAAACACCTCTACGCAAATAAACTAGAAAATCTAGAAGAAATGGATAAATTCGACACATACACTCTCCCAGGAAGAAGGTGAATCTCTGAATAGACCAATACCAGGATCTGAAATTGTGGCAATAATCAATAGCTTACCAACCAAAAAGAGTTCAGGACCAGATGGATTCACAGCTGAATTCTCCAGAGGTACAAGAAGGAACTGGTATCATTCCTTCTGAAACTATTCCAATCAATAGAAAAAGAGGGAATCCTCCCTAACTCATTTTATGAGGCCAGCATCATTCTGATACCAAAGCCAGGCAGAGACACAACAAAAAAAGAGAATTTTAGACCAATATCCTTGATGAACACTGATGCAAAAATCCTCAATAAAATACTGGCAAAACGAATCCAGCAGCACATCAAAAAGCTTATCCACCATGATCAAGTGGGCTTCATCCCTGGGATGCAAGGCTGGTTCAATATACACAAATCAATAAATGTAATCCAGCATATAAACAGAGCCAAAGACAAAAACCACATGATTATCTCAATAGATGCAGAAAAAGCCTTTGACAAAATTCAACAACCCATTCATGCTAAAAACTCTCAATAAATTAGGTATTGATGGGACGTATTTCAAAATAATAAGAGCTATCTATGACAAACCCACAGCCAATATCATACTGAATGGGCAAAAACTGGAAGCATTCCCTTTGAAAACTGGCACAAGACAGGGATGCCCTCTCTCACCACTCCTATTCAACATAGTGTTGGAAGTTCTGGCCAGGGCAGTTAGGCAGGAGAAGGAAATAAAGGGTATTCAATTAGGAAAGGAGGAAGTCAAATTGTCCCTGTTTGCAGATGACATGATTGTATATCTAGAAAACCCCATTGTCTCAGCCCAAAATCTCCTTAAGCTGATAAGCAACTTCAGCAAAGTCTCAGGATACAAAATCAATGTACAAAAATCACAAGCATTCTTATACACCAGCAACAGACAAACAGAGAGCCAAATCATGAGTGAACTCCCATTCACAATTGCTTCAAAGAGAATAAAATACCTAGGAATCCAACTTACAAGGGATGTGAAGGACCTCTTCAAGGAGAACTACAAACCACTGCTCAAGGAAATAAAAGAGGATACAAACAAATGGAAGAACATTCCATGCTCATGGGTAGGAAGAATCAATATCGTGAAAATGGCCATACTGCCCAAGGTAATTTACAGATTCAATGCCATCCCCATCAAGCTACAAATGCCTTTCTTCACAGAATTGGAAAAAACTACTTTAAAGTTCATATGGAACCAAAAAAGAGCCCGCATCGCCAAGTCAATCCTAAGCCAAAAGAACAAAGCTGGAGGCATCACACTACCTGACTTCAAACTATACTACAAGGCTACAGTAACCAAAACAGCATGGTACTGGTACCAAAACAGAGATATAGATCAATGGAACAGAACAGAGCCCTCAGAAATAACGCCGCATATCTACAACTATCTGATCTTTGACAAACCTGAGAAAAACAAGCAATGGGGAAAGGATTCCCTATTTAATAAATGGTGCTGGGAAAACTGGCTAGCCATATGTAGAAAGCTGAAACTGGATCCCTTCCTTACACCTTATACAAAAATCAATTCAAGATGGATTAAAGATTTAAACGTTAGACCTAAAACCATAAAAACCCTAGAAGAAAACCTAGGCATTACCATTCAGGACATAGGCGTGGGCAAGGACTTCATGTCCAAAACACCAAAAGCAATGGCAACAAAAGCCAAAATTGACAAATGGGATCTAATTAAACTAAAGAGCTTCTGCACAGCAAAAGAAACTACCATCAGAGTGAACAGGCAACCTACAACATGGGAGAAAATTTTCGCAACCTACTCATCTGACAAAGGGCTAATATCCAGAATCTACAATGAACTCAAACAAATTTACAAGAAAAAAACAAACAACCCCATCAAAAAGTGGGCGAAGGACATGAACAGACACTTCTCAAAAGAAGACATTTATGCAGCCAAAAAACACATGAAGAAATGCTCATCATCACTGGCCATCAGAGAAATGCAAATCAAAACCACTACGAGATATCATCTCACACCGGTTAGAATGGCAATCATTAAAAAGTCAGGAAACAACAGGTGCTGGAGAGGATGTGGAGAAATAGGAACACTTTTACACTGTTGGTGGGACTGTAAACTAGTTCAACCATTGTGGAAGTCAGTGTGGCAATTCCTCAGGGATCTAGAACTAGAAATACCATTTGACCCAGCCATCCCATTACTGGGTATATACCCAAAGGACTATAAATCATGCTGCTATAAAGATACATGCACACGTATGTTTATTGCGGCATTATTCACAATAGCAAAGACTTGGAACCAACTCAAATGTCCAACAATGATAGACTGGATTAAGAAAATGTGGCACATACACACCATGGAATACTATGCAGCCATAAAAAATGATGAGTTCATGTCCTTTGTAGGGACATGGATGAAACTGAAAAACATCATTCTCAGTAAACTATCGCAAGAACAAAAAACCAAACACCACATATTCTCACTCATAGGTGGGAATTGAACAATGAGATCACATGGACACAGGAAGGGGAATATCACACTCTGGGGACTGTTGTGGGGTGGCGGGAGGGGGGAGGGATAGCATTGGGAGATATACCTAATGCTAGATGACGAGTTAGTGGGTGCAGTGCACCAGCATGGCACATGTATACATATGTAACTAACCTGCACAATGTGCACATGTACCCTAAAACTTAAAGTATAATAAAAAAATAAATAAATAAAAATAAATAAAAATAAAAATAAAAAATAAAAAAATACTTTCTTTCTTCTAGCGTTTACTCTAAGCAGTTGATAGAAGCCATACAGATTATTAATATTTTGCTTAGATATTTCTATGGCCAGATGTCTATATATATATATATGTATTATGTATTACTTTTATTTTATTTGGTTGTTTTTTATATATGTGTTTATATATGTGTGTGTGTGTGTGTATGTGTGTATGTATATATATAACAGAAATATCTAAGCAAAATATTAATAAAATATTTTTGTCTATATATTCATGTGTACATATATACCATATATATGTAGTCTATCTATCTATCATCTATCTATCATTTGATTGTTTGTTTTTGTAGAGACAAAGTCTCACTATATTGCTCAGGCTGGTCTTGAACTCCTGGCTCAAGCAATTCTTCTGCCTCAGCCTCCTAAAGTGCTGGGATTATAAGCATGAGCCACCATGCCTGGTCAGTGCATTGCTTCATTGCTTTTTAATTATTTTTCCCACAACGTCCTCTGTCATGAGGATAATTCAGCCAAGTTTATTGCCACTTTATAACAAGGATGACCTTACCTTCAGTTTCTAATAAGATATTCCTCATTTCCATCTGAGACCTCATCAGAAAGGCCTTCATTGTCCATATTTCTGCCAATATTCTGTTCACAAGCTCTTAATCTTTAAGACTTAGGCGAGAGATAAGCAGGAACAAACCAAACTCAAAATTGGCAAAATTGGCAATCTAAAAAGGAAATAATAAAGCTCAGAGAAGAAATAAACAAAAAAAGACTAAAATAAAGATCAATGAAATGAAGAGCTGGTTTAAAAAACAAAATCCACAAGCCTTTATCTAGACTAAGAAAAAAAGAGAGAGAAGGCTGAAATAAATAAAATGCAGATGAAAAGGAGATGTTACAACTGATAGTACAGGAATATAAAGGGTCATAAGAGACTATTATGACAACAAATTTCATAACACAGAAGAAAGGGATCAATTCCTGGACAGATATAACCTACCAACATTAAATTATGAAGAAATAGAAAATTTGAACAGGCCAGTGATGAGTGAGGAAATTGAATCAGTAATACATGAGCGAGGAAACTGAATCAGTAATAAAAAGTCTTTCATCAAAGAAAAGCTCAGGAACTAATGGCTTCAGTGCTGAATTCTACAAACATTTGAAGAGCTAATGCCTATTCTCCTCAAACTATTCCAGAAAAACTGAAAAGGAATGAGTATTGCCAAACTAGTTTTACCAGGCCACTACTGCCCTGATTCCAAAACCAAACAACACAGCAACAACAACAAAAACAACAGGCCAACAAAAACTCCTTGATGAATGTACATGCAAAAATTCTTAGTAAGGTGTTAGCAATCCAAATCCAACAGCATATTAAGAAGACTATTCAATATGATCAAGTGGGATTAATGCCAGTGATGCAAGATGATTTAGCATACACAAATCAACAAATGCACTACACCACGTTACAAGAAAGAGTGACAGAAACCATGTGATATTTTAATAGATGCAGAAAATAATTTGACAAGATTCAACATCCTTTCATGACAAAATTTCTCAACGAATTAGGTATAGAGTTATGCACCTAAACGCAATAAAGACCATATATGACAAACTCCCAGCTAACATCATAGTGAAAAGGGAAAAGCTCAGGAACCAAATAAGAAGGCCCACTTTCAATATTTTACTGGAAGTCCTAGCCAGATCAATTAGGTAAGAGAAAGAAGTAAAAGGCATCCAAATTGGAAAAGAGGAAGTCAAATTGGTCCTGTTTGCAGATGACTTCATCTTGTATAGAGAAAACCCTAAAGACTCCACCAAAAAACCTCTAGAAATAATAAACAAATTCAATTAAAAGTTACAGGCTACAAAATCAACATAAAAATTATTACCATTTCAATATGCTAATAGTGAACTATCTTAAAAAGAAATCAAGAAAACAATTTTATTTACAATCGCAACAACAACTACAACAACAGCAAACTCCTAGGAATAAACATAACCATGCAGGTGAAAGATTTCTACACTGAAAACTATAAAACTTTGATGAAAGAAACTGAAGAGGATACAAATAAGTAGAAGTGTTCATAGATTGGAAGAATTTATGTTTTTAAAATGGCCATACTACCCAAAGCAATGAGATTTAATACAATCCCTATCAAAATACCAATGACATTCTTCACAGATAAAGAAAAAACAAACCATAAAATTTATGTGAAATCATAAAAGATTCCATTGGAGTGTGAAGCTGGAGGCCTCACACTACCTGGCTTGAAAATATATTACAAAGCTATTGTAACCAAAACATCATGGTAGTGACATAGAAACTGATCCATAGACCAATAGAATAGAATGTAAAACCCAGAAACAAATCAACAACCCTGATCCTTGACAAAGGTGCCAAGGACACACATTGGAGAAAAGACAGTCTCTTTAATAAATGATGCTAGCAAAATTGGATATTCTATGCAGAAGAATGAGACCAGATCCCTAACTCTCACCGTATACAAAAATTAACTTAAAATGGATTAAAATCTTAAATATAAAACACAAAAACTATGAAACTAGTAGAAGAAAACATAAAGAAAATCCTTCCCAATATTGGGCTGAATTTTTCAAGAATTTGGAAAAATAAGACCTCAAAAGCACAGGCAAAAAAAGCAAAGATACACAAACAGGATTATATCAAACTAAAATACTTTTGCACTGCAAAATAAACTATTAACAGAGTGAGGAGACAACCTGCAGAATGTAAAAAAATTTTAAGACTATTTATCTGACAAGAGGTTAATATACAGAATATATAAAGAACTTAAACAATTCAACAGCTAAAAACCAAATACTTCAACCTAATAATGGGCAAAAAGACCTGAATCGACATTTTTAAAAAGAAGATATACAAATGGTCAATAGGTATATGAAAAAATGCTCAACATCACTAATCATCAGAGAAATGCAAATCAAAACCAAAGGAGATAACACCTCACTTCAGCTAGGATGGCTATTATCAAAAAGATTTTTTAAAAATGCTGGCAAGGATAGAGAGAAAGAATACTCATATGCTGTTGGTGGGAATGTAAAGTAGTACAGCCATTATGGAAAACAGTATGGAGGTTCCTCAGAAAAAAGTAAAAATAGAACTACCATATGACCTCACAGTCCCACTGCTGAGTTTATACCCAGAATAAAGGAAATCAATATGTTGAAGAGATATATGCACTCTCATGTTTATTGCAGCACTATTCACAATAGCCAAGATATGAAACATATCTAAGTGTCCATCAATGGATGAATGGATATTGAAAATGTGGTATATATACACAATGGGACACTATTCAGCCATAAAAACAAATGAAATCCTACGATTTGAGACAACATGAATGAACCTGGAGGAGATCATGATACATGAAATAAGCCAGACACAGAAAAGACAAGCACTGCATGATCTCACTCATACATGGAATCTATTTTTTTTAAGCTGATATCACAGAAGCAAAGAATAGAACAGTGGTTACCAAAGACTTCAGATAGAGGAAAAGAGGAGGATAGGAGAAGTTGGTCAATGGGTACGAAGTTACAATTAGATAGAAGGAGTAAATTCTGGTGTTCTATTGCACAGTATCATGACTATGGTTGACATTAAAATATTGTATATTACAAAATAGCTAGAAGAGAGGCTTTTGAAGGTTCTCACCTTAAGGAATGTAAATGCATGAGGTGATACATACACTGACTACCCAGATTGGATCATTATACAACATAGATATGTATCAAAACATTAAATTGTACCCCATACATATATACAATTACAACATTTCAATTAAATAAATAAATAACTTTTTAAAAGAACTTTAAAACTTCTGGAAACTAATATAGGAGAAAACGTATATGACTTTGGATTTGGCAATGTTTTATATACCATACAAAAAGCATGAATGTTCCTTGAATGAACAAAATGATCAGTTGGACTTTTTTAAAATGAAAAACTTCAGTTCTGTAAAAAGCACTGTTAAGAGAATGGAAAGACAAGCCATGAACTGGAAGGAAATATTTGCAAAGCACATATCTGATGAAACATTTGTATCCAAAATATAGATAGAACTCTTAAAACTCAACAGTAAGAAAAAACAACCCATTAAGTAATAAGCAAAAAATCTGAACATATACTTCACCAAAGAAGATATACAGATAACAAATAAGCATATTTATGGATGCTCAACATCACATGTCATTAGGGAATTGCAAATTAAAACCACAAGGAGATACCACCACACATAATCTATTAGAATGGCTACAATCTAAAACACCAACAACAGGAAATGATGGTAGGGTTGTGGAGCAACAGAAACTCTCTCCTTCATTGCTGGTGGGAATGCAAAATGATACAGCCAATTTGGAAGGCATTTTGGCAGTTTCTTACTAAGCTAAACATTGTCTTACCATATAATCCAGTTATCACACTCCTAGGTATTTACACAAATGTATTGAAAACTTATGTCCACAAAAATCTGTGTACATATATCTATAGCCGATTTACTCATAATTGATAAAAATTGAAAGCAACAAAGATATCCTTGAATAGGTGTAATGCTGACATACTTTTATGTTTCCAATGTTGTAAAAGGTGATACTATAGAGATTAAAAATATCAGTGGCTTCCAGAGTTGGCGGGGCAGTGTTAAAGAGATGGAATGAATAGCTGGCATACACGGGATTTTTATGGAGTGAAACTATTCTGTATTGTGCTGCAATGGTAGATACATGACATGTGTTTTTCAAATCCATAGAAATGTACAACACAAAGGGTGAACCTCAATGTAAACTATGAATTGAGTTAGTAACAATGTATTGATATTGATTCATCAATTGTATCAACTGTACCTACCAATGCAAGATGTTAATAATAGGGGAGAATGTGGGTAGGGGAGACAGGAAGTAAATGGAAGCTTCCTGTACTTTCTATTCAGTTTTTCTGTAAGCCTAATAATGTTCCAAAAAATAAAGTATATTAATTTTAAAAATTAAAAAATAACCCAATGTGAAAGCAGGAGCAGAGGGGGAGCAATATGGTGGAACAGAAGGCTCTACCGATTGTCACCACTGCAAGAGCACCAATTTAACAACTATCTACACAGAAAAAAAAACAAAAACAAAAAAAACCTTCATAAGAACCAAAAATCACAAGAGCACTCCTAGTACCTGGTTTTATCTTCATATTACTTTGTATCCCTGAAAGAGGGACCGAAGAAATAGAAAAAAACAGTCTTGAATTCCCGACACCACCACTCCTGCCCCAGGCAACTGTAGTGGGGTGCAGAGAGCATGTCTGGATGCTGGGGGAGAGAGAGCACAACAATTGGAGGGATTAAACTCAGTGCTGTCCTGTTAGACCAGAAAGGAAAATCAGACTGAACTCAGCTGACACTTGCCCATAGAGGGAGCATTTAAATAAGCCCTAGCCAGAGGGGAACTGCTAGTCCCAGCAGTCTGTACTTGAGTACCTGCAAACCTCACCACTGAGGGCTACAGTGCTGCATGTCTCTAAGTAAATTTGAAAGGCAGTATAGGCTATAAGGACTGCAACTCTAAGATAAGTCCTAGTGCTGAACTAGGCCCAGAGTCAGTGGACTGGGTTGGTGGCAGGGGGGGATGGGGTGGGGGACACGTGACCAACTGAGACACCAGCCAGGGTGTCTAAGGGAGTGCTGGCATCACTCCTCCTCTAAAATCAGACTTCACAGCTTGCAAGAGACCTGGTTGTCCTTCCTTCCACTTGAGGAGAGGAGTGGGAAGAATGGGGAGGACTTGTTTTGCAACTTGGATATCAGCTCAGCCACAGCAGGACAGGGCACTGGCCAGAGTCATGAGGCCCCCATTTCAGGCCCTAGCTCTTGGACAACATTTCTAGACACATCCTGGGCCAGAAGGAAACCTGCTGCCTTGAAGAAAGGGGCCCAGACATGGAAGCATTCATCACCTGCTAACTACAGAGCCCTTAAGCCCTGAATAATCAGCAGCAATACCCAGGTACTATGTCAAGAATCTTGGGTGAGCCTCTGAGACTTGCCAGCTTCAGGTGAGACATAGCACATTACCAGTTGTGGTGGCTATTGGGAGAAACTCCTTCTGCTTGAAAAAAGCAGAGGGAAAAGTAAAGGGGAGTTTGTCTTCTACCTTACATATCAGCATGGCCACAGAGAAGTAGAGCACCAAGTGGGCTCTTGGGGTCCTTGATTCCAGGACTGGATTCTTGGATGGCATTTCTGGACCTGCCCTGGGCTGGAGGGGAGCCCACTGAAGGGTGAGTCCCAGGCCAGGCAGCATTCACCACAGCTGACTTAAGAGCCCTTGAGCCTTAAGGGAACATTACCAGTAGTCTGGCAGTACTCCTTGTGGCATGTGATGGTGGTGGCTATGGAGTGAGGCTCCTCTGCCTTTGGAAAGGGGAGGGAATAGTGAAAAAGATTGCATCTTGTAGTTTGAGTCCCAGCTCAGCTGCAGTAAAATAGAACACCAGGTAGGCTGCTAAAGCTTTTGACTCTAGTCCTCAACTCCCAGAGAGCATCTCTGGACCCACCTGAGGTTTTGAGGAACTTGCTTTCCTGAAGTAAAAAAAAAAAACACAGGCCTGGGTGGCTTTTCCACCTGCTAATTGTACAGCCCCAGAACCTTGTGTAAACACAGACAGTAGCAAGGGATTGGTTACAGCAGGCCTTGGGTGAGACTCAGTGCTGTTCTGGCTGCAGGTGTGACCCAACAAAGTCACAGTGGTGGTGGCCACAGGGGTGCTTGTGTCACTTCACTCCCAAGCCTCAATTCTTGCCCTTTGTGCACCTACAGGCTTAACACCACATAGAAGTCTTGGCAGCTTCCAGCTTGCACCCTCTGGAGCAGTGATCTGAGACATATCTGGGGCTCTTTTAGCCACAGCTGGAGCTGGAGTGGCTGGAATGCAGGGAGCAGTGTCCTTAGGTTGCACAGGGCAGTGAGGCCTGAAGACCGAGGCCCAGCCCATGAAACCATTTTTCCCTCCTAGGTTTCTGGGCCTGTGATGGGAGGGGCTGCCGTGAAGGTCTCTGAAATGCCCTGGAGGCATTTTCCCCATTGTCTTGGCTATGAACATTTGGCTCCTCTTTACTTATGCAAATTTCTGCAGCCAGCTTGGGCTTAAATTCCTCCGCTGAAAATGAGTTTTTCTTTTCTACCACATAGCCAGGCTGCAATTTTCCACACTTTCATGCTCTGCTTCCTTTTAAATATAAGTTCAAGTTTCAATTCATTTCAGTGCTTATGCAAATGAGCATAAGCTTTTAGAAGCAGCCAGGCCACAGCTTGAATGCTTTGTTACTTAGAAATTTCTTCCGCCTGGCCAGACACGGTGGCTCATGCCTATAATCTCAGCATTTTGGGAGGCTAAGGTGGGTAGGTCGCTTTGAGCTCAGGAGTTTGAGACCAGCCTGGGCAACACAGCAAAATCCTTTCTCTATAAAGAATATAAAAATTAGCTCTGTGTGATGGTGTGAACCTGTAGGCCCAGCTATTTGGGAGGCTGAGGCTGGAGAATTGCTTGAGCCTGGGAAGCAGAGGTTGCAGTGACTGAGATCACGCAACTGCATGCTAGCCTGGGTGACAGAGTGAGACCCTGTCTTATAAAAAAAAATTTCTTTTGCCAGATAACGTAAATCATCTCTGTCAAGTTCAAAGTTCCACAGGTCTCTAGAGCAGGGGCACAATGCCACCAGTCTCTTTGCTAAAGCAGAACAAGAGTGACCTTTATCCCAGTTCCCAATAAGTTCCTCATCTCCATTTGAGACCTCCTCAGTCCAGACTTCACTGTCCATATCTGTATTAGTCCATTCTCACACTACTATAAAGATACAACCTGAGACTAGGTAATTTATAAAGGAAAGAGGTTTAATTGACTCACAGTTCTGCAGGCTTAGCAGGAAGCATGGTTAGGAGGCCTCAGGAAACTTACAATCATGGTGGAGGACTAAGGGAAAGCAAGCACATCTTACATGGTGGCAGGCAAGAAGCATGAGAGCCATGGAAACGTCTACTTATAAAACCATCAGATCTCGTAAGAACTCACTATCATGAGAAAAGCATGGGGGAACCACCCCCATCATCCAGTCACCTCCCACCAGGTCCTTTCCTCAACACATGGGGATTACAATTTGGATTACAATTCAAGATAAGATTTGGGTGGGGACACAGAGCCAAACCATATCATTCTGCCCTGTCCTTTCCCAAATCTCATGTCCTAACATTCCAAAACCAATCATGCCTTCCCAACAATACTCCGAAGTCTTAATTCATTCCAGCATTAACTCAAAAGTCCAAATCCATAGTCTCATCTAGTAAAACCAAAAACAAGTTAGTTACTTCCAAGATACAGTTGGGGTACAGGCATTGGTTAAATGTTCCCATTCCAAATGAGAGAAATTGGCCAAAATAAAGGAGCTACAAGACCCATGCAAGTTCAAAACCCAGAGTGTCTGTGGCTTTTTCAGTTACACAGTGCAAGCTGTCAGTGGGTCTGGGGTCTGGAGGATGGTGGCCCTCTTGTCACAGCTGCACTAGGAAGTGCCCCAGTGGGGACTCTGCATGGGGGCTGCAACCCCACATTTCTCTTCGGCACTGACCTAGCAGAGGTTCTCCATGAGGGCTCCACTCCTGCAGCAGACTTCTGCCTGGACTTCCAGGCATTTCCATACATCCTCTAAAATATAGTTGGAGGTTCCCAAACCTCAGCTCTTGCCTTCTGTGCATCCACAGGCCCAACACCATGTGGAAACTGCCAAGGCTTGGGGCTTGCACCCTCTGAAGCAATGCTAAGCCATACCTTGGCCCCTTTTAGCCACTGCTAAGGCTGGAGTGGCTGGGACATGGAGCACCAAGTCCCGAGGCTGCACAAAGCAGCAGGTCCCTGGCCTGGCGCACAAAACCATTTTTCCCTCTTAGGCCTCCAGGCCTGTGACGGGAGAAGCTTCCCAGTAGGTTTCTGACATGCCTTGGAGACATTTTCCCCATTGTCTTGGCTATTAACATTTGGCTCCTCATTACGTATGTAAATTTCTGCAGCCATCTTGACTTTCTTTCCAGAAAATGGGTTTTACTTTTATACCACATGGTCAGACTGCAAATTTTCCAAACTTTTATGTTCTGATTTCCTTTTAAACATAAGTTCCTCATCTCCATCTGAGACCAGCTCAACCTGGACTTCATTGTACATATCACTATCAACATTTTGGTCAAAACCATTCAGTAAGTCTCTAGGAAGCTCCAAACTTTCCCACATCTTCCTGTCTTCTTCTGAGCTCTCCAAACTGTTCCAACCTCTGCCCATTACCCAGTTCCAAAGTTGCTTCCACACTTTCAGGTTATCTTTATAGCAGTACCCTATTCTACCAGTACCCATTTACTGTATTAGTCCATTATCCCATTGCTTTAAAGATACTACCTGAGACTGGGTAATTTATAAAGGAAAGAGGTTTAATTCAGTCACAGTTCTGCAGGATTAATAGGAAGCATGGATAGGAGGCCTTAGGAAACTTATAATCATGGCAGAAGGGGAAGGGGAAGCAAGCACGTCTTACGTGGGGGCAGGTGAGAGATGCAAGAGCAGGGGAAGCTTCTACTTATAAAACCATCAAGTCTTGTGAGAACTCACTATTATGAGAACAAGATTGAACCATGGGCCAGGCATAGTGGTTCATGCTTGTAATCCCAGTACTTTGAGAGGCCAAGGTGGGTGGATCACTTGAGGCCAGGAGTTCGAGACCAACCTGGCCAACATGGTGAAATCCTGTCTCTACTAAAAGTACAAAAAATTAGCCAGGCATGGTGGCACGTGCCTGTAACCCCAACTACTTGGGTGGCTGAGGCACAATAATTGCTTGAGCCTAGGAGGTGGAGGTTGCAGTGAGCTGAGACCACACCACTGCACTCCTTTTTTTTGAGACTCTGTCTCAAAAAAACCAAATTGAACCATGAAGAAATCCAAAACCTGTCCAGAACAAAACCAAGTAATGAGATTGAAGCTGTAATAAAAAGTCTCCCAGTAAAGAAAAGCCTGGCACTCAATGGTGACACTGCTGAATTATACCAAACATTAAAGTAGTACTAATACCAATCCTACTCAAACTATTCTGAAAAGTAGAGGAGAAGAGAAT
Source organism: Homo sapiens (assembly GCF_000001405.40). Lineage (NCBI taxonomy): Eukaryota > Metazoa > Chordata > Mammalia > Primates > Hominidae > Homo > Homo sapiens. The sequence continues at coordinate 70,493,054 of NC_000014.9, forward strand.
ACTTCTAGACTCTTTCTATAATGCCAGTATTACCCTGATACCAAAGACACATCAAAAAAAAAAAAAAAAAAAAAACACTACTGGCAAATATCTCTGATAAATATTGATGCAAAAATCCTCAACAAAATACTAGCAAACCTAATTCAACAGCACATTAGAAAAATCATTCATCATGACCAAGGGGGATTTACGTCTGGGATGCAAGGACAGTCCAATACATGCAAAACAATCAATGTGATACATCAGATCAGCAGAATGAAGGATGAAAACCATATGATCATTTCAATTGATGCTAAAAAAGCATTTGATAAAATTTAACATCCCTTCATAATAAAGACTCAAAAAACTAGGTATAGAAGGAACATACCTCAACATAATAAAAGCCATATATGACAGACTCACAGCTAGTATATACTGAATGGGAAAAGTCAGAAAGCCTTTCCTCTAAGGTCTAGAACATGACAAGGATGCCACTTTCACCATTGTTATTCAACATAGTACTGGAAGTCCTAGCTAGAGCAACCAGACAAGAGAAGGAAAGAAAGGGCATCCAAATTGAAAAGGAAGAAGTCAAATGATCCTTGTTTACAGATGATATAATTTTATATTTGGAAAAACCTAAAGACTCCACAATAAAACTGTTGGAACTGATAAACAAATTCAGTAAAATTGCAGAATACAAAATCAACATCCAAAAATCTGTAGCATTTCTATATGCCAACAGTCAACAATCTGAAAAAGAAATTTACAAAGTAATTCCATTTGCAGTAGCAACAAAAATTTAACTACCTAGGAATTAACCAAAGAAATGAAAGATGTCTATAATGAAAACTATAAAGCACTGATGAAATAAATTGATGAGGACACCAAAAAATAGAAAATATTCCATGTTTATGAATTGAAAGAATCAAAATAGTTAAAATGTGCATACTACCCAAAGGAAACTCCAGACTCAGTGCAATGCCTATCAAAATACCAATAAGATTCTTCACAGAAATAAAAAAATCATAAAATTTATATAGAATTTATATTTTTATCATCTGTGAAGATTATTCAAAGGAAAAAAAAAGGCAGGATGCAGGGGCTCATGCCTGTAATGCCAGCACTTCAAGAAGCCGAGGTGAGTGAATTGCTTGAGCTCAGAAGTTTGAAACCAGCCTGGGCAACATGGCAAAACCCTGTCTCTACAGAAAAATACAAAAATTAGTCAGGTGTGGTGGCATGTGCCTGTAGTCCCAGCTACTCAGGAAGCTGAGGTGGGAGGATGGCTTAAGCCTGGGAGGCAGAGGTTGCAGTGAGCCAGGATTGCATCACTGAACTCCAGAGTGGGTGACAGAGCAAGACCCTGTCTCAAAAAAAAAAAAAAATTGAGAAATAGACAAAACAATCCTAAAATTTATGTGGAACCACAGAATAGCCAACACTATCCTAAGCAAAAATAATAAAACTGGAGGAATCACATTACCTGACTTCAAATTATACTACAAAGCTATAGTAACCAAAATGACATGGTACTGGTGTAAAAACAGACACATAGGACAATGGAACAGAATAAAGAACCCACAAACAAATCATCACACCTACAGTGAAGTCATTTTTTACAAAGATGCCAGGAACATACACTGGGGAAAAGACAGTCTCTTCACTGAATGGTGCTAGGAAAACTGGATATCCATATACAGAAGAATGAAACTAGGCCCCTATGTCTCAATGTATTCAAAAATAAAATCAAAACAGGTTAAAGACTTATATCTAAGACCTCAAACTATGAAATTACTACAAGAAAATATTGGGGAAATTCTCCAGGACAATGCTCTGGGCAAAAATTTCTTGAGGCATACCCCACAAGCACAGGCAATCAAAGCAAAAATGGACAAATGAGATCACGTCAAGTTAAAAAGCTTCTGCAAAGCAAAGGAAACTGTCAACAAAATGAAGAGACAACCCACAGAATGGAAGAAAATATTTTCAAACTACCTATCTGACAAGGGATTAATAACCAGAATATATAAGGAGCTCAAACAACTCTATAGGAAAAAAATATAACAATCCAATTAAAAAATGGGCAAAAGATCTGAATAGACCTTTCTCAAAAGGAGACATACTAATGGCAAGCAGGTGTATGAAAATATGCTCAACATCATTGATCATCAGCAAATCGAAACTATAATGAGATATCTTTTTACCCTAGTTAAAATGGCCTTTATCTTAAAGACAGGCAATAACCAATGCTGGTGAGGATGTGGAGAAAAGGGAAACCTCATACACTGTTGGTGGGAATGTAAATTAGTACAATCACTATGGAGAACAGTTTGGAGGTTCCTCACAGAAATGAACATAGAGCTACCATATGATCCAGCAATCCCACTCCTGGGTATATACTCCAAAGAAAGTAAACAGTATATCAAAGAGATATCTGCACTCCTATGTTTGTTCCAGCACTGCTTACAATAGCTAAGATTTGGAAGCAACCTAAGTGTCCATTAACAGATGAATGGATAAAGAAAATGTGGTACATATACATAATGGAGTACTACTCAGCCATTAACAACAATGAGCTCCTATAATTTTCATTTGCAGCAACATGGATGGAACTGGAGGTCATGTTAAGTGAAATAAGCCAGGCACAAACATTGCATGTTCTCGCTTATCTGTGGAATGTAAAAATCAAAACAATTGAACTTGTGGACACAGAGCAGCAGTAGAATCGTTACCAGAGGCTGGGAAGGGGACGTGGTGGTGGAGGGGAGGTTGGGATAGCTAATAGGTTTTAAAAAATAGAAAGAATGAATAAGACCTACTATTTGATATCACAACAGGGTGCCTATAGTCAATAATAAATTAATTCTACATTTTAAAATAACTTAAAAAGCGTAATTGGATTGTTTGTAACACAAAGGAAAAATGCTAGAGGGAATGGATATTCCATTCTCCATGATGTGATTATTTAATATCGCATGACTGTATCAAAACATCTCATGTACCCCACAAATGCATATACCTACTATGAACCCACAAAAATTAAAAAAAAAAAAACTAAAAAAACTAGCAGTGCTCACTTTGGAAGCAAATACTAAAATTGGAATAATACACAGAATATTATCATGGCCCCTTGCACAAGGATGACACACAAATTTGTGAAGTACTCTATATTTTTATATTAAATAAAATTATTATTTAAAAATTTTTAAAAACTAAAGAATTTTAATACACAGTTTGGAAAAACATGCTATATAGTTTCTAAGTAGCCCATAGTGAAAAATAACATAATAAATAATTTTTAATTTCCAAAAATAAAAGTAAAAATAGACCAATGCTGTAAGAACTGCTTCTTATAGCATAGTAAAAAGAAAAAAAAAAAAAAAGGAGTGGCCAAGATGGCCGAATAGAAGCAGATAGTGTGCATGGCTCTCATGGAGAGGAAGAGAAGGGGTGAATAAATACAATACCTTCAATTGAAACATCCAGGTACTCGCACTGGGGTTAATCAAGGAAACAGCCTTACCCACAGAGAACAAACAAAAGCAAGACAGGACAATGGCCCACCTAGCAGCGACATGGAGCCATGGGATTCCCCCCTGCCCAGGGAAGCAGTGAGTGAATGAGCAGCCCTGGGAAACCATGCTTCTCCCACAGATCTTTGCAACTTGCTGGTCAAGAGGTCTCCTTGTGAACGCACTCCACCAGGGCCTTCAGTCTTCAGTTTGACAGACAGAACTAGGTGGAGTCTTGGCATAGCAGCTGCTCAGGCACGCATGGAGACCCTGCAGCCTTAGATGCTAAGGCTTTCTAGAAAACGTAGCTGCAGCTCCAGCAAAGTGGGAGGTTAGACTCCTGTGCATGCCCCTAGGAAAGAGGATGAATCCAGGGGGCTGAGCAGCAACAGCCCACGGACCCCACTTCCACAGCACTTCACAAGATAAGACCCACTGACTTGGAATTCCAGCAGCTACCAGTAGTGGCACTGCACCTCCCTAAGAAGGAGCTCCCTGGGGTTGGGGTGGGCCACCACCATTGCTGTTCAGGCACCTTAGTCATTCCAGCCTTCAGGCTTTGGAGAGTCTGAGCTGACCTGGGGCAGAAGGGATCCCCCAGAACAGTACAGCCACTCTACCAAAATGTGGCCAGACTGCTGCTTTAAGCAGGTACCCAATCCTGTTCCTCCTTACTGAGCAGGACCTCCCAACTCAGGCCTCAAGCCACCCCACCTAGGCACTCCAACCAACAGAGATCTGAATTACTCTTGGCATGGCACTCCCAGAGGGAGGGGAAGGCCACCATCTTTACTGTTTGGGTGACTTAGCTATTCCAGCCTTTGGACTTTGGAGTGTCTGGGGTGACTGGGCCCTGAAGTGGACCCCCAGTGCTGCACAGAAAAGCTGCTCTACAAAAACGTGGCCAGACTGCTTTTTAAAATGGGTCCTGATCCCATTCCTCCTTACTGGGCAGGACCTCCCAACCGGGGTCTCTAGCCACTTCCTATAGGTGACTTTGGGCCAGCAACAGGTCCATACCTCCCTTGGCAAAGCTCCCAAGGGAACTGCCCTTGCCACCGTCAGATTAGTGAAGAAGTAGAGACCCTAAGTGCCTTATTCATACCTCCAGTGAGCTGCAGTTGACCCAAGGGGAGGACGTCAGTCCATCTCCCACGGGTCCCATATAGCCCCCATGGCTTATCAACAGACAGGGAACCCCTGGCTTGGGCCCACAGCACAAACTCTCCATCTTGGGTTGACTGCACTGAGCAATTGCTGACCTGCATCTCTCTGAGTTGGAGTCCCAAGGAATCAAGCAAATGACCCTTGGCCACAACCACTACTAAGATCTCTTCCTCTGCGCCGCTAAGCTGGGAAAAGAACATAAACACTGAAATCACCCAAGAGCTGCAGTGGGCAGCCCAGGACTGCCAAATCGTGAACTACACCCTGTACTTAACGGGGAGAGGAACCACATTTTCAGAGCACTGAGAGGGAACATGACTGCAACTGCAGGAAAACACAGGGGAGCCACACAAAGGGGCAAGAGTCTACCAACTGACCAATAAGCCTAAGTGTACCTGCTGGATCACATCCCAAGGCTTCAACACCAAAAATACCTCATTAACATACCTCCCTCTGAAATCAGAGACAAGAAGTCAGCTTCAAATAAAGACCCTACACAATGTCTTGGTCCAGTGAAAACATCCAGAAAAGAAATCTATTGACTGTGTTCAATCTTTACTGCAGTTAAGGGAACACTCACACACACAGATGAGAAAGAACCAAGGTAAGAACTTTGGTACCTGTCATATTTCCTCCAAATGACTGCAGCAGTTCTCCAACAACAGTTCTTAACCAGGCTGCACTGGCTGGAATGACAGAAATAGAATTCAGAATATGGATAGGAACAAAGATCACCAAGACTCAGGAGGATGGCAAAACTCAATCCAAGGAAAATGGAAATCACAATGAAGTGATATAGGAGATGAAGAATGAAATAACAAGTATAAAAAAGAAACTAACAGGTCTGGCAGAGCTGAATAACACAAGAATTTCACAATGCAATCACAAGTATTAAGAGCAGAATAAATCGAGCTGAAGAAAGAATTTCAGGCTGGGCACAGTGACTCATGCCTGTAATCCCAGCATGTTGGCAGGCTGAGGCAGCCAGATCATCTGAGGTCAGGAGTTCGAGACCAGCCTGGCCAAAATGGTGAAAGCCCCTCTCTACTAAAAATACAAAAATTAGCTGGGCATGGTGGCAGGTGCCTGTAATCCCAGCTACTTGGGAGGCTGAGGCAGGAGAATTGCTTGAACCCAGGAGGCAGAGGTTGCAGTGAGCCAAGATTGCAGCACTGCACTCCAGCCTGGGCAACAAGAGCAAAACTGTCTCAAAACAAAACAAAACAAAACAAAAAACAAAAACAAACAGAATTTCAGAACTTGAAGACTGATTCTCTGAAATAAGACAGTCAGACAAAAATAAAGAAAAAAGAATTTTAAAAGTGAACAAATTCTTTGAGAAGTATGGGATTACGTAAAGAGGCCAAATCTATGAATCACTGGTGTCCCTGAAAGGGAGGGGGAGAAACCAAACAACTTGGAACATATATTTCAAGATATCATCCATGAAAATTGTCCCAATCTTGCTAGGGAGGCCAACAGTAAAATTGAGGAAACACAGAGAACTCCTGCAAGATTCTACATAAGATCATTCCCAAAATCAAGGATTTTCCAAGGTTGAAATCAAAGAAAGAATGTTAAAGGCAGCTAGAGAGAAAGCACAGGTCACCTACAAAAGGATCCCCATCAGTGGGATATCACCACTGATCCCACAGAAATACAAACTACCATCAGGGAATACTAAAAACACCTCTACGCAAATAAACTAGAAAATCTAGAAGAAACAGATAAATTCCTGGACACATACACCCTCCCAACACTAAAGCAGGAAGAAGTTGAATCCCTGAATAGACCAATAACAAGTTCTGAAATTGAGGCAGTAATTAATAGCCTACCAACCAAAACAAGCCCAGGACCAGACAGATTCACAGAAAAATTCTACCAGAGGTACAAAGAGGAGCTGGTACCATTCCTTCTGAAACTATTCCAAACAACAGAAAAAGAGGGACTCCTCCCTAACTCATTTTATGAGGCCAGCATCATCCTGATACAAAAACCTGGCAGAGACACAACAAAAAAAGAAAATTTCAGGCCAGTATCCCTGATGAACATCGATGCAAAAATCCTCAATAAAATACTGGCAAACAGAATCCAGCAGCACATCAGAAAGCTTATCCACCACGATCAAGTCAGCTTCATCACTGGGATGCAAGGCTGGTTCAACATATGCAAATCAATAAATATAATCCATCACAGAAACAGGACCAATGATAAAAACCACATGATTATCTCAATAAATGAAGAAAAGGCTTTGATAAAATTTAACACCCCTTCATGCTAAAAACACTCAATAAACTAGGTACTGATGGAACATATCTCACAATAATATGAGCTATTTCTAACAAACCCAGAGCCAATATCATACTGAATGGGCAAAAGCTGAAAGTACTCCCTTTGAAAACCAACACAAGACAAGGATGACCTCTCTAACCACTCTTATTCAACATAGTGTGGAAGTTCTGGCCAGGGCAATCAGGTCAGAGAAATTTTAAAAAGCATATTCAAATAGGAAGACAGGAAGTCAAATTATTTCTCTTTGCAGATGAAATGATTGTATATTTAGAAAACCCCATCATCTCAGCCCAAAATCTCCTTACTTTGATAGGCAACTTGAGTAAAGTCTCAGGATACAAAATCAATGTGCAAAAATCACAAACATTCCCATACACCAATAATAGACAAACAGGGAGCCAAATCGTAAGTGAACTCCCATTCACAATTTCTACAAAGAAAATAAAATACCTAGGAATACAAGTTACAAGGGACATGAAGGACTGCTTTAAGGAGAACTATAAACCACTGCTTAAGGAAATAAGAAAGAACACAAACAAGTGGAAAAACATTCCATATTCATGAATAGGAAGAATCAATATTGTGAAAATGGCCATACTGCCCAAAGTAATTTATAGATTCAATGCTATTTCCATCAAGCCATCATTGACTTTCTTCACAGAACTAGAAATAACTACCTTAAATTTCATATGGAATCAAAAATGAGCCTGTATAGCCAAGACAATCCTAAGCAAAAAGAACAAAGTGGGAGGCATCATGCTACCCGACTTCAAACAATACTACAAGGCTACAGTAACCATATACACCAATGGAACACAACAGAGGCCTCAGAAATAATGCCACACATCTACAACCATCTGATCTTTGACAAACCTGACAAAAACAAACAATGGGGAAAGGATTTAATAAATGGTGCTGGGAAAACTGGCTAGCCACATGCAGAAAAGTGAAACTGGACCCCTTCCTTACACCTTATACAAAAATTAACTCAAGGTGGATTAAAGACTTAAACGTAAAACCTAAAACCATATAAATCCTAGAATAAAACCTAGGCAATACCATTCAGGACATAGGCATGGGGAAAGACTTCATGACTAAAACGCCAAAAGCAATGGCAACAAAAGCCCAAATTGAAAAATGGGATCTAATTAAAGAATTTCTTCACAGCAAAAGAAACTATCATTAGAGTGAACAGGCAACCTACAGAATGGGAGAAAATGTTTGCAGTCTATCCATCTGACAAAGGTCTAATATCCAGAATCTACAAGGAACTGAAACAAATTTACAAGAAAAAACCAACAACCCTGCGGGGTGGTTCCAAGATGGCCGAATAGGAACAGCTCCAGTCTACAGCTCCCAGCATGAGCAACATAGAAGACGGGTGATTTCTGCATTTCCAACTGAGGTACCGGGTTCATCTCACTGGGGCTTGTCGGACAGTGGGTGCAGGACAGTGAGTGCAGTGCACCAAGCATGAGCTGAAGCAGGGTTAGGCATCGCCTCACCCGGGAAGTGCAAGGGGTCAGGGAATTCCCTTTCATAGCCAAGCAAAGCTGTGACAGATGGCACCTGGAAAATCGGGTAACTCCCACCTTAATACTGCCCATTTCCAATGGTATTAGCAAACAGCACACCAGGAGATTATATCCCATGCCTGGTTCGGAGGGTCCCACGCCCACGGAGCCTCACTCATTGCTAGCACAGCAGTCTGAGATCAAACTGCAAGGTGGCAGTGAGGCTGGGGGAGGGGCACCCGCCATTGCTCAGGCTTGAGTAGGTAAACAAAGCGGCCGGGAAGCTTGTACTGGGTGGAGCCCACCGCAGGTCAAGGAGGCCTGCCTGCCTCTATAGACTCCACCTCTGGGGGCAGGGCATAGCCAAACAAAAGGCAGCAGAAACCTCTGCAGACTTAAATGTCCCTGTCTGACAGGTTTGAAGAGAGTAGTGGTTCTCCCAGCATGGAGCTTCAGATCTGAGAACGGACAGACTGCCTCCTCAAGTGGGTCCCTGACCCCCGAGTAGCCTATCTGGGAGCCACCCCCCCAGTAGGGGCAGACTGACACCTCACACAGCCAGGTACCCCTCTGACACAAAACCTCCAGAGGAATGATCAGACAGCAACATTTGCTGTTCAGCAATATTCACTGTTCTGCAGCCTCTGCTGCTGATACCCAGGCCAACAGGGTCTGGAGTGGACCTCCAGCAAACTCCAACAGACCTGCAGCTGAGGGTCCTGACTGTTAAAAGGAAAACTAACAAAGAGAAAGGACATCCACACCAAAACCCCATCTGTACGTCACTATCATCAAAGACCTAAGGTAGATAAAACCACAAAGATGGGGAAAAAACAGAACAGAAATACTGAAAATTCTAAAAATCAGAGCGCCTCTTCTCCTCCAAAGGAACACAGCTCCTCACCAGCAACAGAACAAAGCTGGACGGAGAATGACTTTGATAAGTTGAGAGAAGAAGGCTTCAGATGATCAAACTTCTCCGAGCTAAAGGAGGAAGTTTGAACCCTTTGCAAAGAAGCTAAAAACCTTGAAAAAAGATTAGATGAATGGCTAACTAGAATAACCAATGCAGAGAAGTCCTTAAAGGACCTGATGGAGCTGAAAACCATGGCACAAGAACTACGTGATGAATACACAAGCTTCAGTAGCCGATTTGATCAAGTGAAAGAAAAGGTATCAGTGATTGGAGATCAAATGAATGAAATGAAGCGAGAAGAGAAGTTTAGAGAAAAAAGAAAAGAAATGAACAAAGCCTCCAAGAAATATGGGACTATGTGAAAAGACCAAATCTACGTCTGACTGGTGTACCTGAAAGCGACGGGGAGAATGGAACCAAGTTGGAAAACACTCTGCAGGATATTTTCTAGGAGAACTTCCCCAACCTAGCAAGGCAGGCCAACATTCAAATTCAGGAAATACAGAGAATGCCATAAAGATACTCCTCGAGAAGAGCAACTCCAAGACACATAATTGTCAGATTCACCAAAGTTGAAATGAAGAAAAAAATATTAACAGCAGCCAGAGAGAAAGGTTCGGTTACCCAAAAAGGGAAGCCATCAGACTAACAGCAGATCTCTCAGAGAAACTCTACAAGCCAGAAGAGCATGGGGGCCAATATTCAGCATTCTTAAAGAAAAGAATTTTCAACCCAGAATTTCATATCCAGCCAAACTAAGCTTCATAAGTGAAGAGAAATAAAATACTTTACAGACAAGCAAATGCTGAGAGATTTTGTCTCCACCAGGCCTGCCCTACAAGAGCTCCTGAAGGAAGCACTAAACATGGAAAGGAACAACCAGTACTAGCCACTGCAAAGACATGCCAAATTGTAAAGACCCTCGATGTTAGGAAGAAACTGCATCAACTAACAAGCAAAATAACCAGCTAATATCACAATGACAGGATCAAATTCACACATAACAATATTAAACTTAAATGTAAATGGGCTAAATGCTCCAATTAAAAGACACAGACTGGCAAATTGGATAAAGAGTCAAGACCCATCAGTGTGCTGTATTCAGGAAACCCACCTCATGTGCAGAGACACACATAGGCTCAAAATAAAGGGATGGAGGAAGATCTACCAAGCAAATGGAAAACAAAAAAAGGCAGGGGTTGCAATCCTAATCTCTGATGAAACAGACTTTAAATCAACAAAGATCAAAAGAGACAAAGAAGGCCATTACATAATGGTAAAGGGATCAATTCAACAAGAAGAGCTAACTATCCTAAATATATATGCACCCAATACGGGAGCACCCAGATTCATAAAGCAAGTCCTTAGAGACCTACAAAGAGACTTAGACTCCCACACAATAATAATGGGAGACGTTAACACCCCACTGTCAACATTAGACAGATCAATGACACAGAAAGTTAACAAGGATAACCAGGAATTGAACTCAGCTGTGGACCAAGCAGACCTAATAGACATCTACAGAACTCTCCACCCCAAATCAACAGAATATACATTCTTCTCAGCACCACACCACACCTATTCCAAAATTGACCACATAGTTGGAAGTAAAGCACTCCTCAGCAAATGTAAAAGAACAGAAATTATAACAAACTGTCTCTTAGATCACAGTGCAATCAAACTAGAACTCAGGATTGAGAAACTCACTCAAAACCACTCAACTACATGGAAACTGAACAACCTGCTCCTGAATGACTACTGGGTACATAATGGAATGAAGGCAGAAAAAAGATGTTCTTTGAAACCAATGAGAACAAAGACACAACACACCAGATCTCTGGGACACATTTAAAGCAGTGTGTAGAGGGAAATTTATAGCACTAAATGCCCACAAGAGAAAGCAGGAAAGAGCTAAAATTGACACCCTAACATCACAATTAAAAGAACTAGAGATGCAAGAGCAAACACATTCAAAAGCTAGCAGAAGGCAAGAAATAACTAAGATCAGAGCAGAACTGAAGGAGATAGAGACACAAAAAACCCTTCAAAAAATCAATGAATCCAGGAGTTGGTTTTTTGAAAAGATCAACAAAACTGATAGACTGGCTAGCAAGAATAATAAAGAAGAAAAGATAGAAGAATCAAATAGACACAATAAAAAATGATAAAGGGGATATCACCACCGATCCCACAGAAATACAAACTACCATCAGAGAATACTATAAACACCTCTACACAAATAAACTAGAAAATCTAGAAGAAATGGATAAATTTCACCCTCCCAAGACTAAACCAGGAAGAAATTGAATCTCTTAATAGGCCAATAACAGGCTCTGAAATTGAGGCAATAATTAATAGCTTACCAACCAAAAAAAGTCCAGGACCAGACAGATTCACAGCTGAATTCTACCAGAGGTACAAGGAGGAGCTGGTACCATTCCTTCTGAAACTATTCCAATCAATAGAAAAAGAGGGAATCCTCCCTAACTCATTTTATGAGGCCAGCATCATCCTGATACCAAAGCCAGGCAGAGACACAACAAAAAAAGAGAATTTTAGACCAATATCCCTGATGAACATCGATGCAAAAATCCTCAATAAAATACTGGCAAACCAAATCCAGCAGCACATCAAAAACTTATCCACCATGATCAAGTGGGCTTCATCCCTGAGATGCAAGGCTGGTTCAACATATGCAAATCAATAAACGTAATCCAGCATATAAACAGAACCAAAGACAAAAACCCCATGATTATCTCAATAGATGCAGTAAAGGCCTTTGACAAAATTCAACAGCCCTTCATGCTAAAAACTCTCAATAAATTAGGTATTGATGGGATGTATCTCAAAATAATAAGAGCTATCTATGACAAACCCACAGCCAGTATCATACTGAATGGGCAAAAACTGGAAGCATTCCTTTTGAAAACTGGAACAAGACAGAGATGCCCTCTCTCACCACTCCTATTCAACATAGTGTTGGAAGTTCTGGCCAGGGCAATCAGGCAGGAGAAAGAAATAAAGGGTATTCAATTAGGAAAAGAGGAAGTCAAATTGTCCCTGTTTGCAGATGACATGATTGTATATCTAGAAAACCCCATCGTCTCAGTCCAAAATCTCCTTAAGCTGATAAGCAACTTCAGCAAAGTCTCAGGATACAAAATCAATGTACAAAAATCACAAGCATTCTTATACACCAATAACAGACAAAGAGAGCCAAATCACGAGTGAACACCCATTCACAATTTCTTCAAACAGAATAAAATACCTAGGAATCCAACTTACAAGGGATGTGAAAGACCTCTTCAAGGAGAACTACAAACCACTGCTCAATGAAATAAGAGGACATAAACAAATGGAAGAACATTCCATGCTCATGGATAGGAAGAATCAATATTGTGAAAATGGCCACACTGCCCAAGGTAATTTATAGATTCAATGTCATCCCCATCAACCTACCAATGACTTTCTTCACAGAATTGGAAAAAACTACTTTAAAGTTCATATGGAACCAAAAAAGAGCCTGCATTGCTAAGTCAATCCTAAGCCAAAAGAACAAAGCTGGAGGCATCATGCTACCTGACTTCAAACTATACTACAAGGCTACAGTAACCAAAACAGCATGGTACTGGTACCAAAACAGAGATATAGACCAATGGAATAGAACAGAACCCTCAGAAATAATACCACACTTCTACAACTATCTGAGCTTTGACAAACCTGAGAAAAACAAACAATGGGGAAAGGATTCCCTATTTAATAAATGGTGCTGGGAAAACTGGCTAGCCATATGTAGAAAGCTGAAACTGGATCCCTTCCTTACACCTTATACAAAAATTAATTTAAGATGGATTAAAGACTTAAATGTTAGACCTAAAACCATAAAAACCCTAGATGAAAACCTAGGCAATACCATTCAGGACATAGGCATGGGCAAGGACTTCATGACTAAAATACCAATAGCAATGGCAACAAAAGCCAAAATTGTCAAATGGGATCTAATTGAACTAAAGAGCTGCTGCACAGCAAAAGAAACTACCATCAGAGTGAACAGGCAACCTACAGAACGGGAGAAAATTTTTTACAATCTACCCATCTGACAAAAGGCTAGTATCCAGAATCTACAAAGAACTTAAACAAATTTACAAGAAAAAATCAAACAACCCCATCAAAAAGTGGGCAAAAGATATGAACAGACACTTCTTGAAAGAAGACATTTATGCAGCCAACAGACACATGAAAAAATGCTCATCATCACTGGCCATCAGAGAAATGCAAATCAAAACCACAATGAGATACCATCTCACACCAGTTAGAATGGCGATCATTAAAATATCAGGAAACAACAGGTCCTGGTGAGGATGTGGAGAAATAGGAACACTTTTACACTGTTGGTGGGACTGTAAACTAGTTCAACCATTGTGGAAGACAGTGTGGTGATTCCTTAGGGATCTAGAACTAGAAATACCATTTGACCCAGCCATCCCATTACTGGGTATATACCGAAAGGAATATAAATCATGCTGCTATAAAGACACATGCACACATATGTTTATTGCGGCACTACTCACAATAACAAAGACTTGGAACCAACCCAAATGTCCAACAATGATAGACTGGATTAAGAAAATGTGTCACATATATGCCATGGAATACTATGCAGCCATAAAAAAGGATGAGTTCATGTCCTTTGTAGGGAGATAGATGAAGCTGGAAACCATCATTCTCAGCAAACTATTGCAAGGACAAAAAACCAAACACCGCATGTTCTCACTCAAAGGTGGGAATTGAACAATGAGAACACTTGCACACAGGACGGGGAACATCACACACCGGGGCCTGTTGTGGGGTGGGGGGAGGGGGGAGGGATAGCATTAGGAGATATACCTAAATACCTAATGTAAATGATGAGTTAATGGGTGCAGCACACCAACATGGCACATGTATACATAGGTAACAAACCTGCACATTGTGCACATGTACCCTAGAACTTAAAGTATAATAAATATATATATATATATAAAAGAAAAAACAAACAACCCCATCAAAAAGTGGACAAAGGATATGAACAGATGCTTCTCAAAAGAAGACATTTATGTGGCCAACAAACATATGAAAAAAAGCCTGTCATCACTGATCATTAGTGAAATGCAAATCAAAACCACAATGAGATACCATCTCACACCAGTTAGAATGGCGATCATTAAAAAGTCTGGAAACAACAGATGTTGGTGAGGATGTGGAGAAACTGGAACGTTTTTTGTTTTTTTTTTGTTTTTTTTTTTGAGACGGAGTCTCGCTCTGTCGCCCAAGCTGGAGTGCAGTGGCACGATCTTGGCTCACTGCAAGCACCGCCTCCTGGGTTCACACCATTCTCCTGCCTCAGCCTCCCGAGTAGCTGGGACTATAGGCACCTGCCACCACGCCTGGCTAATTTTTTGTATATTAATAGAGATAGGGTTTCACCATGTTATCCAGGATGGTCTCGATCTCCTGACCTCATGATCCACCCACCTCAGCCTCCCAAAGTGCTGGGATTACACACGTGAGCCACCACACCCGGCTGAAACTGGAATGTTTTTATGCTGTTGATGGAAGTGTAAATTAGTTCAACCATTGTGTAAGCCAGTCTGGCAATTCCTCAAGGCTCTAGAACCAGAAATACCATTTTACCCAGCAGTCCCATTACTGGGTATATACCCAAAGGATTATAAATCATTCTACTATAAAGACACATGCACATGTATGTTTATTGCAGCACTATTCACAATAGCAAAGACTCGGAACCAACCCAAATCCCCATCAATGATAGACTAGATAAGGAAAATGTGGCACATATACACCATGGAATACTATGCAGCCATAAAAAAGAATTTCGTGTCCTTTGCAGGAACATGGCTGAAGCTGGAAACCATCATTCTCAACAAACTAACACAGGAACAGAAAACCAAACACCGCATGTTCTCACTCATAAGTGGGAGTTGAACAATGAGAACACATGGACACAGGGAGGGGAACATCACACACCAGGGACTGTCAGGGGTGGGAGGAAAGTGGAGGAAGAGCATTAGGACAAATACCTAATGCATGTGGGGCTTAAAACCTAAATGACAAGTTGATAGGTGCAGCAAACCACCATGGCACATGTATACCTATGTAATAAACCTGCATGTTCTGCACTTGTATCCCAGAACTTAAAGTATAATAAATAAATAAAGAAAAAAGTAAATGTATCCAAAAGACAAGACATATTAATGTTAAAACCATTATGAAATTTTTAACAATCCTTAAAAAAATAAAAAATAAAACCAGAAATAACAGGAGGAATTTTTTTAAATTTACATAATACATGAAAATTAAACATGTTACTGAACAACTGATGGCTCTTCAAATAAGAAATTAAAAAGGGAAATTAAATAATATCTTGGGACAAACAAAAATGGACACACACCATACCCAGAACTTATGGAATGCAGCAAAAGCAGTTCTAAGACAGAAGTTTGTAGCAATAAATGCTTTTATCAAAAAGGGGAGGATTTTGAAAAAGCAACCTAACTTGACACTTGACAGAATTAGAAAAACAAGAACTAAGCCCAAAGCAAGCAGAAGAAAGGAAATAATAAACATCTGAGAGGAATAAATTAAATAGAGACTGGAATATATTAAATAGAAAATAGAAAAGACCAACAAAACTGAGAGTTGGGTTTTGAAGAGATAAACAAAATGGACAAATCTTGAGATGGACTAACTAAAAAAAATAGAAAACTCAAATAAATAAAATCAAAAATGAAAGAGGAGACATTACAACTGGTACTACAGAAATACAAAGGATCATAAGAGACTACTGTGAACAATTATAAGCCAAAATATTGGATAACCTAGAAGAAATGGATAAATTCCTACAACATTACAACCTACCAAGACAGAATTATAAAAAAAAAAAGATCATCTGAAAAAAACCAATAAGTAAGGTGATTGAATTAGTAATAAAAAATCTCCCATCAAAGCCTCAGAACTTGATGGCTTCCCTGATGAATTCCGCCAAACATGTAAAAAGACCTAACACCAACGCTACTCAAACTCTTCAAAAAAAAATTGAAGAGGAGGAAATAGTTTCAAATTATTTTTATGTGGTCAGCATTACCCTGATACCAAAGCCAGCTAAGGACACTACAAGAAAAGAAAATTACAGACGAATATATCTGATGAACATGGGTGCAAAATGCTCAACAAAATACTAGCCAACCAAATTTAATAGCACATTAAAAGGATTGTTCACCATGATCAAGTGGGATTTATCTCTGGGATGCAAGGATAGTCAAAATACACTAATCAGTAAATGCAATACATCACATTAACAGAATGAAGGGTAAAAACTATGATTCTCTAATGAATGCAGAAAAGGCATAGACAAAACTCAACATCCTTTCATGATTAAAAATTCCAACAACTTAGATATAGAAGAAAATTTCCCCAACACAATAAAGGCCATATATAACTAGCTCACAGCTAACATCATAATCAGTAAGATAAAACTAAAAGCTTTTTCTTTAAGATGCAGTACAAGGCAAGGATGCCCTCCCTCGCTAATTCAGTACAATATAGTACTGGGACTTTTAGCCAGAGTAATCAGATGAAAGAAAAACAATCATCTAAATTAGAAAGGAAGAAGTTAAATTATCTGTTTGTAGATGACATGATCTCATGTACAGAAAACCCCAAAGACTTCATCAAAAGCTAATACATGAATATAATAAAATTTCAGGATACAAATCTACATACAGAAATCAGTAGCATTCTTATACCAACAGCAAACTATCTGAAAAATAAATCAAGAAAACAATCCCATTTACAACTGCTATGAAGAAATAAAATATTTAGGAATAAATTTAACCAATGAGGTGAAAAAAATCTGTACCTTGGAAACTATAAAACATTGATGAAAGAAATTGAAGGAGACACAAATAAATGGAAAGATATTCTGTGCTCATGAATTGAATTAAAAAACGTCCATACTACTCAAAGCAATCTATAGATTCAACGCAATCCCTCTCAAAATCCTAATGGCATTTTTTGCCTATCAATGATAGACTGGATAAAGAAAATGTGCCACATATACACCATGGAATACTATGCAGCCATTAAAAAGGATGAGTTCATGTCCTTTGCAGGGACATGGATGAAGCTGGAAATCATCATTCTCAGCTGTTCTTTGCAGGGACATGGATGAAGCTGGAAATCATCATTTTCAGCAGACTAACACAGGAACAGAAAACCAAACCCCTCATGTTCTCACTCATAAGTGGGAGTTGAACAATAAGAACACATGGACACAGGGAGGGGAACATCATACACCAGGGCCTGTTGGGGGGTGGGGGCACTAGGGGAGGGATAGTATTAGGAGAAACACCTAATATAGATGATGGGGTGATGAGTGCAGCAAACCGCCATGGCACGTGCATACCTATGTAACAAAACTGCATGTTCTGCACATGTATCCCAGAACTTAAAGTATAATAAAAAAAAATCCTGATGGCATTTTTCATAGAAATAGAAAAACAGCCCTAAAATTTGTATGGAACCACACACACACACACACACACACACACACACACACACACACAAAGAACAGCCAAAGCAATTTTGAGCATAAAGAACAAAGCTGAAGAAGGCATCATACTACCTGATTTCAAAATATACTACAAAGGTATAGTAATCAAAACAGTATGGTAATGGCATAAAAACAGACACATAGCCCAATGGAACATAATAGAGAGCTTAGAAATAAACACATATTTATGGTCCATTGACCTTTGACAAACATGCCAAGAACACAAAATGGGGTATAATGCTTGCAGTGGAAGGAAAACATATCATTATTTGCAGATAATATGATTGTCCATATAGGAAATCAAACAGAAAAAGCTTGAAACTAACCATTAAAACTAATGAGAGCTAAACAAATTTCCTAAATACAAGAACAACATGCAAACGTAAATACCATTATTATACACAAGAGATAATTATAAAATGCAGTAGAAAAAAGTACACACATTAGCAAAATAAAATGTCTTAACTTATTGAGGAATAAATATTTTTTAAAAGGATGTACATACCTTTAGACATATATTTTAAAACATTATTGAAGCACAAAAAAGAACTGAGGAAATTGAGATATGTATCATATTGGTGATTAAAACAAGTCAAATTCTAGTCAAAATCCCAAGGGAATATTTCATAGGATAGACAAATTTACTCAAACTATGTGAGGTGATGGATATGTCAATTAAGTTGATTGTGGTAATCATTTCATAATGTATACCTATATCAAAACATCAGCCCGAGTGTGGTGGCTCACACTTGTAATCCCAGCACCTTGTGAGGCTGAGGCAGGTGTATCACTTGAGCCCAGGAGTTCCAGACCAGCCCGGGCCAACAGGGCAAAACCCCATCTCTACAAAAGTCCAAAAAAAAAAAAAATTACCCAGGTGTGGTGGTGCATGCCTGTCGTCCCAACTATTTGGGAGGCTCAGGTGGGAGGATCGCTTGAGCACGGAAGATGGAGGCTGCAGTGAGCCAAGATCATACCGCTGCACTCCAGCCTGGGCAACAGAGCAAGACTCTGTCTCAAAAAAAAAAAAAAAATACATTGTATACCCTAAATACATGCAATTTTTTTCAATCATGCCCCAAAAAACCTGAAGAAAATTTAAAAATATTAAAATTATATATTTGAAAGAGTAAAACATTAAGTAAAAACCAAACAAATTGAAAAGAAAATCAAGACAAGGGGATTGGCATCTATACCAACTACATATCAAGATTTATTTTTAATGTATGATAATTAAAACAATGTGGAATTGGTATAGGAACAGACAAACATACAACAAGATTTAAAATGTAGGCCGGGTGAGGTGGCTTACACCTGTAATCCCAGCACTTCAGGAGGCTGAGGCAGGCAGATCACTTGAGTCCAAGAGTTCAAGACCAGCCTGGGCAACATGGTGAAACCCCATCTCTACTAAAAATACGAAAAATTGACCGGGTGTGGTGGCATGTGCTTGCTGTCCAAGCTACTCAGGAGGCTGAGGTGGAAGGATCATTTGAGCCCAGAAGGTAGAGGCTGTGGTGAGCTAAGATCTCACCACTGCACTCCAGCCTGGGCAACAGAGTGAGACTCTATCTAAAAAAAGAAAAAAAAAGAAAAAAAAGATTTAAATCGCTAGAAATAGTCATGTATATATATACACACACATATAAAACCAGGGTTCAGCAAAATTGGCTTTCCATATGGAAAAATAAAATTCTATCTATACATCACAGAGACACAACATATTTCAAAAAGAATAAAGACCTAAATATGAAAAAAAAACTCCTCTTAAACTACTAGAAAAATAAGGAATGTCTTTATGATCTGAGGGTAGAAAAATATTTCTGCTGGGCATGGTGGCTTATGCCCATAATCCCAGCACTTTGGGAGGCCGACGGGAGCAGATCACGAGGTCAGGAGATTGAGACCATCCTGGCCAACATGATGAAACCCTGTCTCTACTAAAATACAAAAAATTAGCTGGGCATGGTGGTGCACACCTGTAGTCCCAGCTACTCGGGAGGCTGAGGCAGGGGAATCGTTTGAACCCAGGAGACGGAGATTGCGGTGAGCTGAGACTGCGCCACTGTACTCCAGCCTGGTGACAGTGAGACTCCATCTCAAAAAAAAAAAAAAATTCTTGTCTAAGAATCTTTTTAAAAAAGTTCAGTGTTAGAGAAAATAAATACAACTACTTAACAAATTTTAAATTCTATCACTATAAACAAAGTAAAGGATATTTTTTAATTTGGTGAAAAAGCATAGATAGTATAAAATAGAACAGTCTGGTTACTATGAAAATCTATAACGATAACAAAAATCATCCAAATAATGGACATCTACATGTCCATCAAAATTATGTATTATTTTGTAATGTATGTATAAAGGAAATAGTCTGGAATCTTGCCAAATAAGCTGATAAAGTTTCCTCTTGACAGGCGAACAGTAAAATGGGATTACAATTCTATCTACAAAATTTTAATGTTTCACAAAATGAATGTTCATGTCTTTACTTCTGGTATAATAAAAAAAAAAATAACAGGGAAGACAGAGAGGAACAGGGTAAGGAAGGTAAAGAACAGAAGGAAGAAGAAAGGGAAGCCAGAGGAGAAAAAGGAAAAATAGGACGAGGAGAAAGAAAGCGGAGGGTGAAAGGGAGGAGGAAGTGAATTACTGAAACGAAAAATCAAATACTGCATGTTCTCACTTATGAATGGGAGCTAAACAATGGGTACACATGGACATAAAGATGGAAACAATACTCACCAGGGTCTCCAAAACAGAGGAAGATGGAAGTGGGGTGAGTTGAAAAGTTACCTATCAGGTATAATGTTCACTAATGGGTACACTAGTAGCCCAATCCCATCAGTATGAGATACACCCATGTAACAAACATACACATGGACCCCCTGAATCTAAATAAAAACTTTTTAAAAAGAAATTCACGTGAGAATGGAAGGGAAGGTTTTTTGTTGTTTTGTTTTGTTTTGTTTTGGTCACTTAGCCACCTATACCCATGTCCAAAGTGAGTGGTTTCCCTATTCTGTCAGTCCCTGTCTCCCCAGTCTCTGCATTCTTCCTGTAGCTCCAGCCGTAACCCAAGCAGGAAGGTCCAACGCTGGCACCTCTTTCTAGAATGGAGACTGATGTTGGCTAAACAGCTTTAGACTAACATCCTGGGCTCGATATAAAATTCCTCTTCCTCCTAGCCAGCTGTTCCTTGCACTCATGTGTAAGTTTTATTTTCTCTGCTTTCTCCTGAGATTAGAGGCTAGCTTGTTCCCTAATGTTGATTAGTGGGGTTCTACCTTGCTCTCTGTGCTTTAGTCCCCATCAAGGTTATGACACCAGTACCCTAGTCACTTTAAGATTAGGACCTCTGAGGAACTAAAGACTTACGTACTTCTATCAGCTTCAGTTACATATCAACTTTGAGGAGAACTGAATGGATGAATCCCAGCTACCTAATGACAGGCTTCCCAGAAGCCAATTCTCCATGTCTGTCTGTAGACTTCAAGGATTACATGAGGGCACCATGAAGCCAAAGAGTGACAAAAGGACATCATGCCTGCTAAAAATTGAAAGAATATATTCAAGATGCTATATGAGTCATTACCCAGATAGGAAAACCACAGCATGTCAGTTACTTTAAAAGCAATAATTCAACATACAGAATGGTTAAATACAAAAGTGGCTAAACAAGTATCAGAGGACTGAAACGTGGAAAGGAAACACTAAGATAACAAAAACATAACAGAAGATGAGAAGCCCAGGTTCTCTCTCATGGAAGGACAAGGTGTCCCCAGGGGTCAGCAGCCAGACTTGAGCTTTCAGCTAATTCACGGTTTGACACAGCTGCAGTGAGTTAGCCTGCCCCCAAGAACTGGTAACAAGGACTCTATTTCTGGTGATAGGTGGAGTACAAACAGCCCCTGGCACAAGGTGGGCATTCCAATGGTTAAAACTCTCATAAGTAGTGACTAGGGATATGTGCCACTGAGGAAGAAATCACTGACAGATGAGACAGGGCAAGGGTTTGAGTTGTATTCATTTTCTAAACTATATAACAAATTACCACAAGCTTAGTGTCTTAAGCAAAATACATTTATTATCTCACAGTTTCCATTTGTGAGGAGTTGGGGCAGGCTTAGCTAGGTCTTTGGCTCAGGGTCCCACAAGGCTACAATCAAGGCACTAGCTGAGCTGCATTCTCATCAAAGGCTGGACTGGGGAAAGATCTGCTTCCAAGCTCACTCAGGTTGTTGCGGGTTTCATTTTCTGGCAGTTGTAGAACTCATGGCCGCTGGCTTCTTCAAAGCCACCAACAGAAGTGTCTGCAGCTTTAAGTCTTACCTCCAGACCCTTCTTAAAAGGGATCACCTGGTGCTACCCAGGAAAATCTCCCTTTTGATTAACTTAAAGTCAATTAGTTAAGGGCCTTAATGACATCTGCAAAATTCCCACATTTGCGATAGTCTGGTTAGAAGCAAGTTACAGGTCTCACTCAAGCTTGAGGGGAGAAGAATACATAAAGGCAGATACCAGGGGGATGGGATGCAAGGGGGGCATCTTAGAATTCTGCCTACCACAAGAGGTAAGGAGGAAATCGGAGCTAGAATAATAAAAGCATTGGATTGCTAAGTGCCTTCGATATACTACAGCAAGATAGTGAACAGCTGATGGTGAGCAACAGGCAATTAAAATCCAGGCATGAATGTCAGTATCCTCTCTGACTGCATACAAAGTGACCCTCATTTCCTTCCAGGGGAGGATAAAGAAATCCAAGTGGCTGAACCTAAAAATAAATAAATAAATAAAAGTTAAATGCCCAACCAAGGGAGCGCTGTAATCAGGACCTTGGTGGAGAAAACCTGAGACTCTGACACACATGATGGGAACATCTGACTAGATCCTTTGAACACTCACGCTCCATATACTCATCCACGGGAGTGATTCACCCCTGTATAGTGAAGGAGAATGCAGATGCCACTCCACCATGAGGCTATAGATGTCTTTTGCAGAGTCTTCCCCCACCTCCTTTTTTGGCCACTAGGCATAAAGCTAGGATTGAGTCACAGCATAATCAACTGGAAAAGTGCTCAGCATGCTCAGAGAAAAGGCACTACATTCTGAGATGCAAAAATCAAATGACAAACAATAAATTGGGAAGGGAAAAATGTTCACTCTCCCAAGATATAGGATTTTACATCTTGGCAAGGACCCTAGGGCATGGTGTAAATTTGTTCCTGGGATGTCTCCTAGAAGCATGGAAAAAGTAATGCTCATACAGAGAAGCCGAAATGCCAGAATTGCCATAATGATTATGGGATTAAAAGGTTCATGGAAATGGGCATGCTGAAATGGAATTATACATGGCCTTCAGATGATAATGTTCCATAGGAATGTCCAGAAAATACACCATTTACCAAAGGCATAAAGAATGTGCTAATAAGAGGAAGCACTGGCATTACCAAAAGGTCCATTATTAAGTCTTTGCAAGCCAGGCTCAGAGTAGGAGGAGGGTGTTACAGAAATTTGCTTGCTGATAGCATTGGTGATAATATGACTCTGACACCTAGAGGTCAGCGAGCAATACATAACCATCCCAAGGAATAAGAATAAGAAGTTGCAATTGTCATAAAGACTGGCAAGGTCAGAATGGCAGCCAAGACCTAAGGAGATGGTAGTGGAAGGATTCTAGAATCCTTAAGGGTAAAATAGATAGACAGCCAACAAGGATACTTACTTTATGCCAATAGAAGAAGCCAAAGATAGATGACTGGGAAGCAAAAAGCAGTTGCCTCCCCAAAAGTTAATCACTTTTCCAGTTTATGGACTTGAACTTCTTTCAAACCTGGAACTCACTCCCTGATGACGTGGACAGAGCCTTGGGCCCAGGATGCTATAAAACCATGGCAAATATATAAATAATAATGATTCCCCCAGCCCTTCACCAAAGGGAACTATGGCCACTTACATAGCTGTGCATAAGGAAGGGGGAATATCTATACATTTCAAGGACTATTGAACACAGGGACTGAGTTGACATTAATGTCCAAGTACTCAAAACATTTTGATGACCTTCCTGTTAGAATGAAGACATATATGAGGACAGGGTAATAAATAAAGTCTTAGCAACACTCTGACTTACAGTGGGTTACTGGTCTTATGGACACAGGGCTATGATAATTCTTCTACCCTCTGTCATAACATAGTATAGTGAGAGGACTGTCTGGATATCCCAGATAACATCACATTGATCGAGTACATTGATGACATTATGTTGATCAAGCCAGGTGTAAAAGAGGTGGTAATGACATTGAAGGCCTTGGTAAAACACATGAGCTCAGAAAATGGAAGATAAGCTCTGTGAAAAATAATACATTGTAATCAAGGACATGATGTGTCAGTAAAATTTTTAGTTTTCTAAGAGCCAGGAATATGCCGGGTTATCCCTTCCAAAGTAAGGCCAAATTATTCCTTTCTGCATCTCCTATCATGAAGAAGGAAACACAATGCCTGGGGATTGCTTTGGTTCCTGGAGGCAGCAAATTTGATACCTAGGACCACAACTCTGGTCCTTATATTTGGTAACATATAATGATGTCATCTTTGAGTGGAAACCATAGAAGGAAAGAGCTCTGCACCAGGTCCAGGTTGTGATGCAAACAGACTTCCACTGGGGTCATACTCCCTAGTAGACCCTATGATGTTGAAAGTGTCTGTGACAGAAAAGGTTGTTGGGTGGAGTTTGTGGTAAGCCCCAGAGAAAGAATCACAGTGTATGCCTCTGGGATTCTGCAGCAGAGGCATGCCATCAGCCAACTAACAATAAAGACCAAGCTGATCCCCTAATCTGGCATAATTTCTAGAAGAACACATAGAGGGAAATTGACTACAATTCTTCATTATCATCCTGGAAGGGCCAGTGGTTCATTCGTACAGTAATAAACACATATTCTTGATATGAATTTGCCTTATCTCACTGAGGTAAGGCAGTGAGCCTCAGTGAGCACCAATATTCAAAGACATTTGGAGTATTTGACCCACTGGTCTGGTGTTTCTGTATAATATCATATCAGACCAAGGTACCACTTTACAGTGAAGAAGTTTTGGAAGGGGACCAAAGAACATGGTATATACTGGCTGTATATCAGACAACATAATCTAGGGGCTGCCAGCCTAATAAAGCATTGGAAATATCTACTGATGGTGCAACTGAGCTAAAGCTGAAGCGCTTGTTCAGAGGCAATATACTACCATTTCACAGAATGAATTGTGTGCACTGAACTACAGATCTTTACATGGGTCTGGGAACCAAGGCCTGGAAACAGGAGTGGTCCCACTTACTGTCACTCACAGTGACTCATTGGGGTGGTTTGTGCTTCTTGCCTACTGCAACTCCGGACTCTGTGGCCCAAAGGTCCTGGTCCCCAAATGGGTCATATTTTCACCAGGGCAAAGCTAGAGTCCCAATAAATTATAAGCTAAAGCTGCCACTAGAACTCACTGTGTCCTTGCACCAACCAAGAAGATGATCACATTCTTGACAGAAGTGATTGACCCTAATCATCAGGAGGAGGCAGGGCTTCTGTCACAAGATGGAAACATAAGAGTGTATGTGTAGAACCCAGGTGATCTCCTTAGGTGCCTAATGGTACTCCCCAGCCTGATTGTGAATATAAATGGACAGGTTCAGCAATCACAGTCTGAGAAGGTGCTCTGGTGCTCCGAGCTTTTGGAGATAAAGACCTGGGTCATATCACACAGTCAAGGAAACTAGAATGGACAGTGGAGGAGTGAGACAATAAGTATCCATTTCAGCCTCAATCCCAAATGCTACAGAGGGACTATGGTTTATCCCATTAACTTCCTTCTCCTAAGGTTCCCCACAGAAAGGGATGTCCACTATAATCCTGGAGGCATTGTTCCCACAATATATTCAAAAAAGTGGGTCAGAGCAGTGCAAATATTGGACTGTAGAATACACAAATATGCCTCTTGGATCCTCCTTCAAGAGAGGACTTGCTGACCGTCTGCAGGAATTATGATCAGAAGACAGCATCCAGATGTTAGCTCTTTGGGGTCAGCCTCAGTTACAAAGAGGCATCCTACCAAGCTCATGCCCTTCTCCCACATCCAAGGGAATGAACAAACTGAAGGGATGAAGACCAGACCATTTTGGCCCAACTCAGACAAATTTGTCAAGCAATATTCAGTCCAGAGCTCACTGCCAGATTGGCCAAAGCTGCAATATAGAAGTATACCTTATTTTATCACACGTCAATGTATTGTGCTTCACAGATACTCTTTTGCTTTTGTTTTACAAATTGAAGGTTTGTGGCAATCTTTTGTTGAGCAAATCTGTTGGCACCATTTTTTCAATAGCAAGTGCTTGCTTTGTGTCTCTGTGTCACATTTTGGTAATTCTCACAATATTTCAATCTTTATTATTATTATATCTGTTGTGGTGATCTGTGATCAGTCAACTTTGATGTTACCATAATAATTGTTTTGGGGTGCCACAAATCCCAACCATATAAGAAGACAAACTTAAGCAAAAAAAATTATGTGTATTCCAACTGCTCCACCAATTGACCATTTCCCCATCTCTTTCCCTCTCCTTGGGCCTCCCTATTCCCTAAGATATAAGATGGAAATTGGGCCCATTAATTTATAATCCTACCATAGCTTAAGTGTTCAAGTGAAAGGAAGAGTCTTCCATTTCTCACTTTAAATCAAAAGCTAAAAATGATTAAGCTTAATGAGAAAGGCATGTCAAAAGCCAAGCTAGGCCTCTTGTACCAAACAGCCAAAGTTGTGAATGCAAAGGACACATTCTTGAAGAAAATTAAAAATGCTACTCCAGTGAACACACAAATGATAAGCAAGCAAAACAGCCTTACTGCTGATATACAGAATGTTTGAGTGGTCTGGACGGAAGATTAAACCAGCCACAACATTCCCTTAATTCAAAGCCTAATCCAGAGCAAGGTCCTAATTTTCACCAATTCTATGACAGCAGAGAGAGGTAAGGAATCTGCGGTGAAAAAATTTGAAGCAAGCACAGGTTGGTTGATGAGGGTTAAGGAAAAAGCCATCTCCATAACATAAAGGTGCAAGATGAAGTAGCAAGTGCTGATGTAGAAGCTGCAGCAAGTTATCCAGAAGATCTAGCTAAGGTCACTGATGAAGGTGGCTACACCAAGCAACAGATTTTCAATGTAGATGAAACAGCCTTCTATTGGAAGGAGACTAGGACTTTCACAGCTAGAGAGGAGAAGTCAATGCCTGGCTTCAAAGCTTCAAAGGACAGGCTGACGGTTTTGTTAGGGACTAATGCAGGTGGTGAATTTAAATTGAAACCAATGCTCCTTTGCCATTCCAAAAATCTGAAGGCCCTTAAGGATGATGCTAAGTCTACTCTGCCTGTGTTCTGTCAATGAAACAGCAAAGCCCTTGATGACAGCATATCTGTTCACAGCATGGTTTACTGAATATTTTAAGCCCATTGTTGAGACCTACTGCTCAGAAAAAAAAATGACATCTTTTCAAATATTACTGTTCACTGACAATACACCTGACCACCCAAGAGCTCTGATGGAGATGTACAAGGAGATTAATGTTGTTTTCATGCCTGTTAACACAACATCCATTCTGCAGCCCATGGATGGAGTAATTTTGACTTTCAAGTCTTTGTATTTAAGAAATGTATTTCATAAGGTTATAGCTGCCATAGATAGTAATTCCACTGATGGATCTGGGCAAATCAATTGA